>NC_000006.12:122040486-122343517 GCF_000001405.40 Homo sapiens | reverse complement strand
GTTGCTATGCTGGAGCGCTTCCCTGATCTTCTTTCCCTTTCTGGCCTCCCTGATGCTCTTCTTATCCTGATCTCCCCACCCCTTACCCAAGTCCTCACTCCTAGTGGGAGATGGAAGACATTGTGATACGCCTTGTAGTCCTACATCTTACATTGAGAACTAGCCCTGCTGCCACCAGAAAGCAACTTTCTACAGGTTATTGAATGATGCATAAAGAAGAAGCCACTATATCTGAATATATGAAGCTCCTCCACAGGTTTTGTGATGTTATATTTCACTTATATTCTTCTTTACATTACATTAGCAATTACATTACTTGCTATGCCATCAAATGTCTGCATTTATTTTAAGATAATTTCCTCGGTTGAACTGTTGCATGACACATCTTCAATTGCTTAAAGATGCGAAATCCCAGAAGGCTTTAATTTTATTGACATTGCCCTCTCCCTCCAATCTCTGAGAGGTTAAAAGCTGTTCATATAAGAGGCTCATCGAATTCCTGATGCTTTCCATTTTAGTACTTGTACTGGTTTCTTCCAACCAAAATTCCAACTAATTTAGAATTTATGGAAAGGTTATTATGCTGACATTGAAACTTATTTGGTGGTAAATGTGGCAAAGCTTTTCTTTAAATACCACAAGGAGAAAAATTCTAACCAAAAATCATTTTATGGGTTTTTAATTCTTTTTTTTAAAGCAGTAATTTTTGAACACTAAAAACAGCAAAAGGTGACACTTAAAGTCAGACTCTAGGCAATTAGTTTGAGCAATAAATCTTGTTCTGAAACCAGCAAAGCAATTTTGAGCACTTTAAAAAAATCCAGATGCTGACTTAGTACAATAAAGTATACTATATCATCATATATACAAATCACTGACTTCTACATAAAATAAGATTCTTTTTAGCATCTATACAAATGAGCTTGAAAATGAAGTAGCAACCCAGAGAGGGACAAAAGCTTCACCCAAATATTTTCTGATTTTTCAGAGAGAAAGTCGTCTTATGTAGACTATTGGAGTTGGCTCTTTAGTTGTTCATTGAAAAACATGGTAAGGAGAATGTATTTTTCTACTGCTGCTGTAACAAATTACCACCCATTTATTGGCTTAAAACATAAATGTATTGTCTTACAGTTCTGAAGGTTAGAAATCTGACATGAATCTCACTGTGCTAAAATCAAAATGTTGGCAGGGCTGTGTTATTTTTTATTTTTATTTTTTGGAGAGCCTAGGAGAAGATGTATTTATCCTTTCTTTCTCCAGCTTTGAGAAGCTCCTCACCCCCATTCTCCATCTGTGAAGCCAGCAGCACTGTCTCTCTGTGACCATTCCTCAAGAGTCACACCCCTCTGTGACTGATTCCCTCTTCCATTTTTAAGTATTCTTGTGATTACATTAGACCCACCCAGATAATTCCGCATAATTTAGCTATTTCATGATCAGCTAGTTAGCAACCTAAATTCCATCTGAAACTTAATTTCCTTTTGCCATGTACTCTAACATATTCATAAGTTCCAGGGGTTAGGACGTAGACATCTTTGGGGCAGAGCATATTTATGCCTACAGGAGAAGAAGATAATAATACGGAGTTACATAAAAAAAGGCGGAAATGCTAGAGCTACATGAAGAATAATTCTTTGGGTATCCCTAGGGACTCTATGAGGATGTCCCAGGCCCTGCTACACAAAGTGTGGGCCATCTGTCAGAGCACGAGCATCACCCAGGAACTTGTTAGAAAGGTAGAATGTTGGGTCCTACACAGACCTGCTGATGTGGGATCTGCAGTTTAACAAAATCTTCAGGTGAGATTCATATGGATATTAAAGTATGAAGAAGGGCTCTATTTGCTCCCTTCAACCAGAGGAGGAATTACACACTTCAATTATATCTGCTTCTGTTACCAGATTACCACTATGTTTTCATCTGAAGAAACTGTATGGTAACTGAAGGAAACTTGAAAATCTCAGCAGTGCAAGATGTAGCAGCATCCTCCTCTCAGCCATTTCTGCTCTTGCTGCAAGCGCATGTCTTCATCTGGTATTAGTGACCTTCGGGTTCTAATAAAAAAATATTATTTTCTTGTTACTTTTTGGGAAGAGAGGAAAAATGACACCTCAGGCAGCAAATTGTTAAACTTCCAGAAGCTGAAAAGAGGAGTCTTGGGAACAACAGACTTGAAAACATAATCTCAATCCCCAGCAAAATTGTAGAATGGAATAATAAAAATACTGTGAGCACTTAGAAGAACTTTGGAGAACTGTGACATCAAAAGGCTTCAAAATGAGTTATCTGAGAACTAAGCATAATAAACTTTATATCCTTTTATAATATTATTAATATGGCAAATCAGGAAAATATGCATATATCTTAACTTGAGTAAAACTCTTGATATGCACTGTAAAGCACTGGATATGACTTGTAAATAAATTGATAAAATGTAGGGTGAATGATAGAACTGATCATTTCTGATCTGGTTAAAAACATTGTACTCAAGGTGTGTTGCATGATGACTTACTAGAGGAGAGAAGTGGAAGGCTCACTATAGGTTCTTGTCCTTCACTCAATGCTTCTCATTTTTATAAAAACAAATAAAGAAAGTGAAAGAACTTTTTTTTCTAACTTTTAGACAAGTTTAAAGAGATAATAAATGAAATAAAGTATGGGGAAGCAGAACTAAAAGCTGTCATTCTTAAAAGTAATTAGGATTACTTTGTAATCTGTGATTAAAGTCATTGTGACCGTCACCAGTGTTGGAGGTAAATTTCTCTACTTACCAGTAGACAGAGGTAGTGATCTGCTTGTAGAAATACAAATAAAGAAGATCTGTGGGCACAGTGGCTCATGCCTGTAATCCCAGCACTTTGGGAGGCTGAGGCAGGTGGATTACCTGAGGTCAGGAGTTAGAGACCAGCCTGGCCAACATGACAAAACCCCATCTCTACTAAAAATACAAAAATTAGCCGGGCATGGTGGTGCACGCCTGCAATCCCAGCTACTTAGGAGGCTGAGGCAGGAGAATCCCTTGAACCCGGGCACGAAGATTGCAGTGAGCCGAAATTGTGCCACTGCACTCCAGCCTGGGTGACAGAAGGAGACTCCATCTAAAAAAAGAAAAAAAAAAGAGCTGAAATTTTAACTGATTGAATATTTCCCGTAAGCTAATAGTGTAGTGTAGTTACATGAAGGCAAGGAGTAAGACTTTCTTGATTTTGAATTCCCAAGGCTCAGCCTGAAACGCAGAACTTAGTAAGTACTTGGTAAATGTTAGCTGAATGAATAATTGTTGAATTATATGAAAGACATAATTATGTCAGATTGCAGTAATAGAAGTCTAAAGTTTAAGATGGTTCACATCCAAAATATTACATTTGCTTCTTGGTGCCATATTTTTAAAGTTATATTGACAAAATGCTATGCAGGAAAAAAGCCTGAAAACACTTGGAAAAAAACTGGAAACTGTGTCTTCTGGGGATGTTATAGTGGAATAAAGAAGTAAAAGGGGACATGTAAAATAGACCTTATTTAGAAACCCTTATGCAATCTTAAGGACAAGCTTGTTGTTCTAATAGGCTGATACAGAGCAAACGTAGGAAAGCTACAAAGTGGTAAATTGTAGTTTAACATAAGCATTTTCTGACCAGCAGGAATGTCTAATGATGAAATGGACTCTCTTGGTGGGGATGCATCCTATTACGAAAGGCTAAATGATCATTGGTCAGGGATGCTGGGGAAAGCAGTCTTTATGGCATAAAGGAATTTCTTAAAGAAACTTCTCAGTCTCAAGCATGTTAGGGCCTAGGCAGCAGATTTTTGTTTTTAATCTATTATTTAGGAAATATTTATTGACTTTGCATTTATTAACTTCCGTGGAGTAAATGTCCCTTTATTTTGCTTCTGTCAAGTCAAATGAGACAAAGTGACAGAAGATGAAGGAACCAACACATGACAAATTGGAAAAAACAGGACTTTTCAAGATATTTAGAAGATTTAGAAATGTATCGTTAACTCCTAGTTGCTAACTTTCTCTGCAATCCAATTCTCTTATTGATTGCTATTTACAGTGAATAAGTAAAGAACTTAAAGATGCTAATGAAGCAGAATTTTATTTGGATTTTCTTTAACGTTTAATAATTCCAGTAGATTATATTGTTGGATAACATTTGGCTCAGTCACTCACTCATATCTCTCACTTTTAGGAACAGAAAAACTATAAGACAGGTCACCACAAATGTGGGGACACAGAAGTTATAATAAAAATTGATATTTTAAATTTATAAATATGAGAATTATTGCCATTAGAGGTGTTATACTGTTATTCAAAGACATAGCTTTACTTTTGATGTGATGTGATATGATAATGTAAACATTACCTCTTGAATAGGATGATTTCCTAAGGGGGATGTGTGGATTCAGAAAGAGATGCTGGCAGGTATGATAGTTCATGTGCTAAGACACTCAAAGAGCGAAGGAAATAGACATTTTAGCTTAATTGACAAAATCTCTTGAAAGGAGGCAGAAAATATCAGGTTGCATGTGTTTTCTAGGAACATTGCAGTTTCTAGTGACCTTCATATTGAATCAAAGTTTGTATCACAATTAAACAAAGTTCTGAAAAAGTTACCAAATTGCTGCAAAAATGTAGCAAAACTAAACAAAAACACTTGAATTGATGTTTGTTATAACTCCCTCCACCCCCAATTGTCCCTAGTAAATTTGGGGACAAAGCCAGTGATCTGCTTAAACAAAGAGATTGTTCTGTGCATGACAATATGAAATATAAGAATTTTCTGTCTAATTTTTCCCATATGTTGGACATACTAAGTTTATTGTTCAGAATACTTTGAAGGGGAAGAAAAGTTAATGAAATAAAAACGAGTAATGAATCTTGTAAATTCATTATAATCCTTAATCAATCTCCCACTATTACATGTTGCTATTAGTTATGAACATTGCTAGCTCTCTAAGACAGGACCTCCAAGTTGTGTATGTGTGTGTGCTTGTGTATGTATTAAAACTGAATATATATATTCAGCCCTCATTTTGGAGCAGATGTGAAAGAGTTTCTCTAGCGTATATATAATTTCTGTAGGAGCAGAAGTCCTGGGTTATTGGATATGCACAAGTTCTGCTTTACAATGTAATGTAATGCCAAACTATTTTCCAAATTGTTCCAATTTTCCCTGTTCCTCATGTTATGTAAGTGTTAGGTTGATCCTTATCCTCTCCAACATTTGATATTATTAGAATTCTTAATTTTTGCCATTTGAATTGTCATAAACATTTAATTGTAAATGTGAACATTCATAGACTTTTTTAAACAAAAGGAGATATTAATAAAATGACAAGGAAAAATTGATGGTTATTCATCCAACGAATATTAAGTGCCTATCATGTGGTATATAAATGTGTGCATATAAAGAAAAGATAATAAAAATGTTCTTACTCTAAGGAGATTACGACATACATTAAACTGAGGCATTCAGATAATAGTACAAGACAGTGGTATCGTTTTTCAGTTTTCCCTCTCCTCTTTCTTCAAAGTCTTTGTTTCTGTATCTTAGGATATCCCGAGAAAGAAACCTAAGTGCTTTCTACTTTCTGAAACAGACAGAATCTGTCTATTGTGTTTTCTTCCTGCCATTTATTCTATCAGCTTTCACCCAGACTGCCAAGCCAATCACCTGTTGCTGGATGACCCAGACCTGAACGTGGGCAGGGACAGTAAAATAAGTGAGGCTTTTTTTTTTTTCATGTGAGTGAAAAGATGTAGGAAAGTAGAAGACTGGGAAGGCTTGGTTTGAACCATCCTGTTCAGGGCCTTAAGTGTCAGATTGGAAGAGTTTGAACTTCTATAGACAACAGAGAGCATCTAAAGGATTAAAAACAAAACAAAACATTTTCTTAGTAACTGATTTACTCAGAGGGGACTTAGGAGATATTTGTTGCAGCTAAATGTACAAGGGGAAAAAATATAAGTCCCAGGCATACTTTGAAAAGTTTTTAATTTTAATTAATTAATATATTTATTTTGAGATAGAGTCTTACTCTGTGGCCCAGGCTAGAATGCAGAGGCACAATCATGGCTCACTGCAGCCTCTACCTCTACCTCCTTGGCTACAGTGATCTTCCCACCTGAGGCTTCCTGAGTAGCTGGGACTACAAGCGCACACCACCATGACCAGCATTTTTTTTTTTTTTTTAGTTTTGTAGAGAAGGAGTCTCAATACATTGCTGAGGCTGGTCTCAAACTCCTGGGCTCAAGCAATCCTCCTGCCTCGGACTCCCAAAGTGTTGGGATTACAGGCGTGAGCCAACGCACCTCACCAGGAATACATTTTAGTGGAGAAAATAAGAGTAAATGAGCATGTAGTACCAAAAATCAGTATCTAAGACAGTCTTTAAAGTAGTATTTCCAATAAAGACAGCAAATTAACCAGACTATACCGTCCTAGAAAAAAAATAATAAAATTAACATTCTTTACTTCTTACCTGGCATAAATTATTCTGGGTAAATTTAATGCCTACCCTAGAGCAGTATTCTATTTCCAAATAGTTAGTTTATTGCTGTGTTTTTAAACTTTTGTTTTGAGTTGTTTTCATGTCAAACATTATTATCTAGTTTCCTAATTTGTATATAGCACAAATTCCTACCAAAGCCTGTAGCTCAATATTCATTGGTTTGGACTTTTAGTTTACACAGCTAAACATGTTTTTGGAGACTGTGAAGACCAGCACGAAGACCCAGAGTCCAAATGAAATGTGAGATGAATGAAAATGATGCAGTGGACTGAATGACATTCAACATGTCCTATTTCTCTTGGTAGTTATAGCATCATGTTTATGTGACTGTTTTCCCATGAGAACCTTTTCTAGTGAATTATGAGAAAGAGTGTTACTAGCAAAGATAAAAGAGAATTGTAAATTCTGGAATGCATATGTATATATATACATATGTGTATATATGTGTGTATATATGCACACATATATATGTGTACACACACACACATATATATATTTAGGTCTGATGAAATTTAAACTATTCAAGGGTGTTTTAGGGTTCATACATTTATCCTACCATTCAATGTGTAACTTTAAATATGTGATTGATAAACAAAACTCAGAAAGAGCCTTTTAGTACTTGCAAGATGAACATGATTAATTCTTCTGGAAGTAGGTGCCATTTATGTAGTACTTCCACCTAGGAATAAAGCAATAAAAAAGACAACTCTTTATTTTAAAATGAAAGGATGCTAACTTCATTACTATTTCTACTCAATCCATACAGACCAAAATAGCCCTCAGTATTCTGAAATAATTTCCATAGTGGATATATCCTTCAACTGGAAGAACCATTGTATGCAAATTTAGAGTTGGTAGAACTTTAAAATTCTCTGATAAATTTATATAAAAACAATAATATTTTAGACCCATTTTTGTTTTTTTGAAGTGACTCAACATTTCATTGAGTTGCATAAGGAGATCTGCTGTGGTTTAACATTAACAATGGGAAGAAGGTGAATAAAAATATCATGGCAGAAAACAGTCTGGAAACTCTTTCATGCTGCAAATGGAATATGGCATTGTCTTTTTCTTCATTATGTGAAGTTTGCAGGCTTAACTTTAAAAAGTAGATATTAACTTTTCAGAAATAAATAACAAAACCAAAACATACACACAATCTTAACATCATAATTTTGTTTGTCTCAATCAAGCCTGGGACATATTTACTAATGATTGAAAGAAGCCATTTTATGACTTTATTAGAACAGTTTGTTTTCATATTTTATTTATTCATATTTTTGATTCCCTTTTATTCCCATTCCCTTCTCCTGTCTCCACATAGTCAATAATCCCAATGTATCTGATGTGTGACTTTTACATTCTATGTCTGAAATATTTTATACATCTGTCACTGTTAGATTTCTAAAATCAACTAAGCTAAATCTCTACCTTACTTTTTCAATAATATTATTCTTTATCTTCTAAAAAGTAGTGTGTTCTGATCTTTTGTCTTATATTTTTAAAATAGAAAAATGTGGAATATACTAATAGGATAAATAATCACAGAAAAATAAATGACACATAAGTCCACTGTCTAAAAATGGCTGGTTAACATATTGGCTTACTTCCTTTCAACTTTAAAAATAAAATTCAGGTCTTATTTTACAACCAATTTTGTGACTTTTTTCTCAATGTACGCTATAATGCTATAATATTAATATTAGCATTTCATTTAAGTTCTTTTAACATAATACAATTTTATTTATTTATTTATTTATTTTTTAGAGACAAGGTCACCCTCTTAAACCCAGGCTGGAGGCAGTTGCAACCTCATGGCTCACTGCAGCCTTGAACTCCTGGTCTCAAGCAATGCACCCACATTAGCCTCCTGAGTAGCTAGGATTACAGGCATGCACCACCATGCCTGGCTAATTTTTAAATCTTTTGTAGAGAGAGGGTCCCACTCTGTTGACAAGACTAATCTCAAATTCCTAGCCTGAAGTGGTCCTCCCACTTCCACTTCCCAAAATGCTGGGATTACAGTCTTGAGCCATGGCATCTGAACTTAAACATAATTTTATTGGCTATATTATATTCCATTATACGATGTATTCAATCATCTGGTTAATGTTAGACTTTTGTTTCCATTATTTGTTATTTTGTTATAATACTGTATGAAACTTTTTGTTCATAAATATTGGCCTTTTATTTATTCCTTATTCTATATTTTTAGATGTAGAAACACTGGCTTTTGAAGTACGTTGCCAAGGTTTTTTCTGAAAGGCTCTACCAGTTGTCATTCTCAACAGAAGTGTGTGAGAGTGTTCATATTGTTAAGCTCTTGCAAATATTGACTATTATCTTTATCGCCTATTTGGTGAATTAAAATAATGTAGCATCACATTTTTACTAATTTTACATTTTTCTTAATACAGTTGAACATTTTTTGAAATGTTTACTATTTGCAATTCTTCTTTAAAAATTGTCCATCCATTATCCTTGTTCATTTATCAATGTGGATTCAGTGTTTTTCTTATGTAAGTATGAGCTTTTTTTGTATTTGCAAAGTATTTTTAAAATTTTGTTCAGATTTTGTTCAGTTTTTGCATTTTTATTTATTAATGTTGCAAAGTTTAAAATGTGTTATTAAAAATTTTCAAATTTTTGTTTTATTTATATTTATTTTATTTTAGAAAACTCTCTTAAAAGATTAAATAAGTGTATATTGACTTACTAAATATAATTCTTTGATCTATGTATAATTTGTACTTATTAAGTATCTAAATTGTGTATTTTTCAAAACCCAAGTATCTCAGCTCTCTCTCTCTCCTTAGTGTATGTTTTATGATGCCTTCTCTGTTGTGGTTGAGATCTGTTTTGGGTTTTTCTATTACTCTGATCTCTCTATTTATACATTCCTTAGCACTACACTTACTACATTTTTGTATGTGTCAGTTATATCATATATATCTGATAGGTCTTGCCCTGAAATCTTGAACTTTGAAAAACTTTTCCCACAGGTTTGCCCTCAGTTCTGGGGATTGTTTGGCCTCAGGCCACTTCACTGCTTCTCTCTCAGAACTCAGCACTTTCATTGTGCATCATCCAAGGGCAACAGACTCAGACCAAATTACCTTAAGAGCGAGAGGATTCTTGGCTGTTAGTAAGGGAAGCAGAATGGGAGCGAGAGAGAGGTGTGAGGGATGAGAATTTACCTAATGGGTTACAATGCACAAGATTTGGGTGATGGGTACACTAAAAGCTCAGACTTTACCACTGTGCAAGATATCCATGTAACAAAACTGCACGTATATCCCCTAAATCTATAAAAATAAAAAATTTTAAAAACTAAGAAAAGCAAGGAAAAGAATCAGCAGAGCAGCTGCCAATGACTAT
Source organism: Homo sapiens (assembly GCF_000001405.40). Classification (NCBI taxonomy): domain Eukaryota; kingdom Metazoa; phylum Chordata; class Mammalia; order Primates; family Hominidae; genus Homo; species Homo sapiens. The sequence goes on along the minus strand of NC_000006.12, from coordinate 122,333,620 downwards.
AGCACAAGAAGATGTAATCATGGACAGGCCCAGAGGAGCAGGTAATACAGGTTGCATGCAGCCTCTGATCCCCCTGTGAGGAAGTAATGGGGGAAAAAATCCCTTACAGAGCCACATATGGCCCGGGATCTGATGAGGAAGGAAAGGGAACAATGGGAAAATATCCACGTAAACCTTGAGAGAGTTCTGTGAGTAACTCTTGTGAAAATTCAAGAGAATGATAGAACTGTCTTCACCGATTAAAAGTTTCAGATAAACTTGAATAATCTAAACCAATAATCTAATACAATATTAGAATATTGTATTAGAATATTCTAATACAATATAAACTCTATGAGCATAATTTAGTAAGTTATATGATTATTGTAGCCAATTAGATATGAGATGAAAATAAGATGATTTAAATTCCAAGTAGAATCACATTTTGGATAATAGTTTGGAAAGAGACTTACATAAATGATTATTGCAGTGCACTCTTTCATATATTATGCTCCTAAAAAAGAGGTAAGGAGAAAGAGGGTTCAGCATATTGCAGTCTCTTCATGTACAAACAAGGAAGAGTAGAAATTTAACTGGCATAGAAAAATGTCTAAAAGCAGAAATTCCCTTCAAGGGGAATACTGATTACTGTTGGCCATCTATGTAGGGGCTGTACTTGAGGAAAAGGGCTATGATTTCCCCAAAGTAGGGACTAAGGGAAGCCCATGTTGTCAATGAGTACTTCTTGCTTATACCACGGTGTTTCTCACCCAGAAGTCATCATCCTGCCTACAAAGACTCTTTTATCTCTCTTTACCATCTCCTGTCTTTGTCCTAAAACAGAAAAAGGCTATGGAAGGAATATATATATGTATGTCTATCTATATCTAGATATGTATATCTAGATATATCTACCAACTTCTCACCCCTCACAAAACCCAGCCAGCAGGATACTCAGCAAATAAACATAGCTGGGATTTTTAGAATTTTTAGAGTTCATTCAGTTTAATTTTTCTAGCAGTCATAATTATCTAGAAAGGATTTTACCTTTACCTTGAAAATCGTCTTAGTACTTCCTATTTACCATAAGTCAGAAGGTTAAAGAGAAACACATATACAGCCTCTTGATGCCACAAAGTATATAACCTCATGTTTTTCTTGCCAGTAAAAAAGAATTATTTTATAATTTTGCCTTTATAGCCATTAGTTCTCCCACTACTTTAAACCAAAGGCTGTTGTTGGTTACCAGTGATTTTATTTACACACATGATTAATTATGTCTCTTTTTAGCAGATGATTGTTTCAGATAATGGTTCATAGTAAACCTTTTTAACAATCATATTATTAGATTACAGAACTGGTGGCCAGTGCTACCACAGGATGCTGGAAGTTAGCTTTAAACAACTCTTATCATTAACTAGAACACGATATTTCAGGCAATATTTTTTTAAAATCTACATTTTGAGGCTTAGATCTTTTTAATCATGGACAGTCTTGAGACATTCTCTCCATCAGTTCTCTCAGAAACAGAGGCCTTTGTGCAATGACCTTATTATGGTGTGTACCAAATGAGGGTGCCTCTTGCCAAGTTGTCATAATACCAGTGTTAGGAGTACATGACTCCAAAGTAAAAATACTAATTTATCAAGTTGTTTTCATATACAATCTTCTTCTTTGTTTCTTAAAAATATTTTCAACTTTAATTTAGATTTTTGGGGGTACATGTGCAGGTTTGTTACACGGGTATATTGGGTGAAGCTGAGGTTTGGAGTGTGAATGACGCTGTCACCCAGGTAGGGAGCATACTACCCAATAGTTAGTTAATCAACTTGTCCCCTCCCTCTCTCCTGCCTCTAGTGGTCCCCAGTGTCTATTTTTGCCATCTTTACGCCCATGAGTACCTAATGTTTCGTTCCTACTTATAAGTGAAAACATGTGGTATTTGGTTTCCTATTCCTGGATTAACTTGCTTATGATGAAGGCCTCCAGCTCCATCTGTGTTGCTGCAAAGGACATGATTTTGTTCTTTTTATGGCTGTATAGTATTCCATAGTGTATATGTACCACATTTTCTTAATCCATCCCACTGTTGATGGGTACCTAGGTTGACTCCCTGTCTTTGCTGTGGTGAATAATGCTGCAATCTTTTTTTTGCACATTTTTTTTGGTATAATGATCTATTTTCCTTTGGGTATATACCCAGTATGGGGATTGCTGGGTTGAATGGTAGTTCTTTTTTAATGTTTTAATGGTAATTCTTTGAGAAATCCCCAAACTGCTTTCCACAGTGGCTGAACCAATATACATTTCGCCAATAATGTATAAATATTTCCTTTTCTCCGCAGCCTTGCCAGCATCTGTTTATAAACCTTTTTTAAAGAGCCAAAGGCATTATATCAATAGCAATACATTTTCCTTATGGTAGGATTAGTTCATTTTAGTTCATCAAGCACTTATTATTGATTAGCCAGATACTGTCCCTGGTGATGGAGACCCAAAGAGGAATCCATAAAATGTGGGCCTTGTAGTTGAGTGATTCTCAAACTTTAGTATGCATAAGAATCATTTTGGGGGCTTATTAAAAGTGTATATTTCTGGTCCTTGTCCCCATAGATACTAATTCAGAAGCCTAAGAAGAGCCTCATAGTCTATATTTTAATATTTTAATAAAATATTCCAGGTAATTCTGGTGTAGACGTTTCTCAGGCATCTTTTAATGAATGTTTAAGGAAGAACATAAACTTTGGCATCTGATTGATCAGGCACTGGCTTCCCATTTATTAACTGTGTGATCACATGTAAGTTTCTAGTTTCTAAACTCACTGAACCTGTTCCCTTATTAGTAAAATTCCTAATGCAGAATTATTGAGAATATTGGATGAGAAAGTACATAAAAAGTACTTAGCAAATGGTCATGTTTGGAACAGAAACTCACTAACTGGATGTCTCTGCTAGGATTAACAGGCAAATCTAGACCAGCTTTACTACTTTTGTGGAATCCAATTGGGAAATGTTCAAAGTAGGAATCTGGGGATAATTGAGGAGTGTAGGAGAAATTGACTTATGATGAAAAGCAGGCATAATTCAGCATTTACAAATGTATAAAGTTAAAAGGTTTAGAATGGTCATGGAAAGAGACTTAGCCGAAGGGCATAAAGAAGGCACTGTGACCAAAATGCAATAGACAATTAGATTATTTGATGCCAGTAGACAAAGAAAAAGGAAATTGCAACAGTCTTCTTAATAAAAAGCAGGGAAGATTACTGGTCACTCCAATGTGTTGGAAAGAACATTCATTTTTAGAAATTTAAATTCATTTAAAAATATAATTTCAGAAAGAGCAAAACAAATTATTATTTTGCCCTTTGTTGATATACAAAAGCGAGAAAAAAAGAAAAACACCCAGGGAATATTGTCTCCAAAGAGCAAAGAAACAAAAAAAAATAAGGACTTGGTAAAGAATAGAGACCATCAAATAAGGGGTCCAGATCCTGGGATCATTATTATTTTCAAAAGCCATGCATTGTACAGAAAATGATGAACTATATCTATTTATCAAAACATTTCAGTGGCCTTATGAAGTAAAAAATAATTAAACCAAATCTTATTATTTCACTGAACTATTTTTCATTTCATTTTATACTCAACATTTTTATGTTATATGGGACATATGAAGCAATAAAGGTAAATGCAAAATCAATTCAAGTGAATTTACTGGAAAATAGTTTAGTTTTATAAATTGCTTATTCAAATTTTGGACCCCAAAGTCAAGGGCTAGATATTTTTTAAGTTGAAACAGTAAAACCCGTATCACCCTAACTAGCCTAGAGAGCTTTAAGTTGTGCACAAATAGCCAGCGAGCCAAAGACTGCCAAAGCCAATCAGAAAGCCTCCCCACAAGTCCTTCCCCAAATCCTACCTCATAAAAAATTCCACCTCAACAGAACAGTCACCAGTCAAAGACTTTCTTAAGACTTCCTCCATTCACTCCACAAAACGCCCTCTCCTTTCCAACCCTTTTTAGTTTACCAGAACCAAAGTGACAGTAGCTGGCTTTCTTACCAGTATAAGCTCTGCATAAATGACCTCTGATTAATTCTGTATGCAGTTTTCCTCCTTTTGACATTTTGAATAAGGCTTAATTTTAAATCACGACTTAGTCATGGGCATACTGTGGTAGTATTTTGCTTGAGATCACAAAACCTGTGTCGCAGTAATATCCCTAGAGACATGTATAAGCTTGTCACAAAAGGTGTACACATGTCCTTTCAGCAAGTGACCTCCCCTATTAAAAACAGAATATAAAATTCTTCACTTTTGTAGAAAATAGAACTCTACAGAGAACATCTCCATTTGGGAGGCTTGGTTTGTTTTGAAGGGCTGTGTCAGAACTTCACTGAATCCTAGGTTGTTTCCAAGTTCACTGCTATAGCCTGGGTCTTGCCAACTCCTTCCCTCAGAATATGGTCCCTCTCCTCATAACTTTATTGTAAGCAAGTCTTAGTATAAGAGGAAAGGTATAGTTAAAGGAAGAATAAAGCAGAAATCAAATAATGATTTTTGAAGAAGTAGATTAATATTTTCCTGGCTCATTATGATGCTTTATAAATATTTATTTAAATAAATACACTGGTTACTAATAAGAAGAGTATACATCTTTTATGCTCAAATTAAGCTAATTTCTTCCAGTGATTATAATGTGAAAGAGGTAGGGGGTGAGATGGAGAGCACTTGCAGAGCCAGCCTCACCTATGTTGGTCAATGAACCAGATATTTAATGCAGTTTGATAGATTCCTGAAAGTCTGCTCTCCCAGAATTTCTCCTACACTAAATGGCTAGAATGACTAAAACATACAACATTGGAGAAATAGACTTCTAGAGAATCCTGGTGAATAGATTGTATTTATTTTAGGATGTAATTTAAAAATGTCAATATGTTCTCAGAAAGTATGAGACGTTATTATGTTAGCACCCATTAATACTTAATATAGATTTGTTTATCAAATTAAGAGTTTGAAGATATGATTCTGGGGTGATGACAGTAGTTACTCAAAGAGAGGGAGATTATAAAAGAGCTGAAAGTGAGGGTGGAAGGCAAAATTTACTCATGTCTAAATTTAGGGCAAGATTGCCAAAAGCTTTTCTCTACGTTGTTAATTATATGTAGTTTTTCCTTTTTTGAGAAATATTTGAAATCTCTTCTTTCAATTTCTCTTTTCTTCTCTCCTCCTTTTCTTCCCTTGTCTTCCTCCTTTCTTTTCTTCCTTTTCTCTTCCCTTTTACATTTACATACAATTAAACATCCTCTTAAGGTGCAGAGTTGAAAGGCCTATTGGCTGGATTCAGCGTCTGTTGATCTGATAGACCAAAATAGTTGGAAGAACTTTGGCAGACCTTACTGGGGAGAATGTAAGATGAGATGGTTGCCCAGCTCACCTCCGGAGAAAAGGTTTAGCAAAAAACATGACCTGAGAGGGTGAGCAAGCCCCACCCAGATCACAGCAGGGCTGCCTGCAGTTTCATTACACAGCAAGCGGACTTGTCTGGGACCTAAGGAACAAACCATTAAGCAAGGTCGGCAGTTATGAAAAGAAGGAAGCTTGCAAAGGAAAATACCCCAACCTTTCAGCATAGTGCAGTAAAAGCTGGGAATCAAAATAATGTAAGGGGATCCCTAAAAATAGATTTATTAATGATTGCTAACACTTGTTACACACACAGTTTTAGGTACTGTTTTAAGAATTTACATGTCTTAACTCATTTATTTCTTGCAACAATTCTATGAAGTAGGTATTAATCTTATCTCCATTTTATAGATGAATCACTCACTGATATTAACAATAGTGCCATGATTCTTGTGTATGTCTCATGGTGGTCCGTGTGAGAATTTTTTAGGGTATGTACTGAGGAGTAGAATTGGTGGATTGCAGAAGATGCGTATCTTCACCTCACTAGATAAGATCAAATCGTTCTGCAGAGCAATTGTACAATTTTACCCTCCCAGCAATACACAAGATCTCTCATTGCTCCATATTGTCAGGCTTTTAAACTTTTGCCAATTTGAAGGGTTGAAATTGCATCTCATTTACTTTTGTGTTTCACTGATTACTAATGCTTTCTCATATTCCTATATGTTTATTAGCCATTTTCCCCTAGGAATTATTTTTTAGTATTTGCTCATTTTTATTGAGTTGTACTTTTTTTTTTTTTTTTTTTGGAGACAAGTTCTCACTCTGTCTTCCAGGCTTGAGTGCAGTGGCGTGATCTCCGCTCAGTGCAACCTCTGCCTCCAACTCAAGCGATTCTCTCACATCAGGCTCCCGAGTAGCACACCACCACACCTGGCTAATTTTTGTATTTTTTGTAGAGACAGACTCTCGCTGTGTTGCCCAGGCTGGCCTCGAATTCCTGGACTCAAGCGATCTACCTGCTTCGGCCTCCCAAAGTCCTGGGATTACAAGTGTGAGCCACTGCACCCAGCCTTGTGCTGGTTTAATCGATTATACAGTTGACCCTTGAACAAGATGGTTCTCAATTGTGTGGGTCCATTTATAAACAAATTTTAAAAAATAAATACATTGGAAAAAATTTTTGAAGATTTGTGACAATTTGAAAAAACCTCATAGATAGACTGTATAGCCTAGAAATATTGAAAAAGAAATTAAGAAAAAAATTAGGTATGTGATGAATACAAAAAATACATGTGGATGCTAGTCTATTTTATCATATGGTACCACAAGATATACATAAATTTATTATAAAAAGTTGAAAATTGGATATTAGTCCTTTGTCAGATGAGTAGGTTGTGAAAATTTTCTCCCATTTTGTAGGTTGCCTGTTCACTCTGATGGTAGTTTCTTTTGCTGTGCAGAAGCTCTTTAGTTTAATTAGATCCCATTTGTCAATTTTGGCTTTTGTTGCCATTGCTTTTGGTGTTTTAGACATGAAGTCCTTGCCCATGCCTATGTCCTAAATGGTATTGCCTAGGTTTTCTTCTAGGGTTTTTATGGTTTAAGGTCTAACATTTAAGTCTCTAATCCATCTTGAATTAATTTTTGTATAAGGTGTAAGGAAGGGATCCAGTTTCAGCTTTCTACATATGGCTAGCCAGTTTTCCCAGCACCATTTATTAAATAGGGAATCCTTTCCCCATTGCTTGTTTTTGTCAGGTTTGTCAAAGATCAGATGGTTGTAGATATGCGGCATTATTTCTGAGGGCTCTGTTCTGTTCCATTGGTCTATATCTCTGTTTTGGTACCAGTACCATGCTGTTTTGGTTACTGTAGCCTTGTAGTATAGTTTGAAGTCAGGTAGTGTGATGCCTCCAGCTTTGTTATGGCCTAGGATTGACTTGGCAATGCGGGCTCTTTTTTGGTTACATATGAACTTTAAAGTAGTTTTTTCCAATTCTGTGAAGAAAGTCATTGGTAGCTTGATGGGGATGGCATTGAATCTATAAATTACCTTGGGCAGTATGGTCATTTTCACAATATTGATTCTTCCTACCCATGAGCATGGAATGTTCTTCCATTTGTTTGTATCCTCTTTTATTTCATTGAGCAGTGGTTTGTAGTTCTCCTTGAAGAGGTCCTTCACATCCCTTGCAAGTTGGATTCCTAGGTATTTTTTTCTCTTTGAAGCAATTGTGAATGGGAGTTCACTCATGATTTGGCTCTCTGTTTGTCTGTTATTGGTGCATAAGAATACTTGCGATTTTTGTACCTTGATTTTGTATCCTGAGACTTTGCTGAAGTTGCTTATCAGCTTAAGGAGATTTTGGGCTGAGACAATGGGGTTTTCTAGATATACAATCAAGTCATCTGCAAACAGGGACAATTTGACTTCCTCTTTTCCTAATTGAATGCCCTTTATTTCCTTCTCCTGCCTAATTGCACTGGCCAGAACTTCCAACACTATGTTGAATAGGAGTGGTGAGAGAGGGCGTCCCTGTCTTGTGCCAGTTTTCAAAGGGAATGCTTCCAGTTTTTGCCCATTCAGTATGATATTGGCTGTGGGTAGAATCTACAATGAACCCCAACAAGTTTACAAGAAAAAAACAAACAACCCCATCAAAAAGTGGGCGAAGGGTGTGAACAGACACTTCTCAAAAGAAGACATTTATGCAGTCAAAAACCACATGAAAAAATGCTCATCATCACTGGCCATCAGAGAAGTGCAAATCAAAACCACAATGAGATACCATCTCACACCAGTTAGAATGGCGATCATTAAAAAGTCAAGAAACAACAGGTGCTGGAGAGGATGTGGAGAAATAGGAACAGTTTTACACTGTTGGTGGGACTGTAAACTAGTTCAACCATTGTGGAAGTCAGTGTGGCAAATTCCTCAGGGATCTAGAACTAGAAATACCATTTGACCCAGTCAGCCCATTACTGGGTATATACCCAAAGGATAATAAATCATGCTGCTATAAAGACACATGCACACGTATGTTTATTGCGGCACTATTCACAATAGCAAAGACTTGGAACCAACCCAAATGTCCAACAACGATAGACTGGATTAAGAAAATGCGGCACATATACACCATGGAATACAATGCAGCCATAAAAAATGAAGAGTTCATGTCCTTTGTAGGGACATTATGAAACTGGAAACCATCATTCTCAGCAAACTATCGCAAGGACAAAAAACCAAACACCGCATGTTCTCACTCATAGGTGGGAATTGAACAGTGAGAACACATGGACACAGGAAGGGGAACATCACACTCCAGGGACTGTTGTGGGGTGGGGGGAGGCGGGAGGGATAGCATTAGGAGATATACCTAATGCTAAATGACGAGTTAATGGGTGCAGCACACCAACATGTCACATGTATACATATGTAACAAATCTGCACATTGCGCACATGTACCCTAAAACTTAAAGTATAATAATAATAAAATTAAAAAAAGAAGACCTAAGACATAAAAAAAGTTGAAATTTATCTAAACTTATGCACATACTTACAGACTGTACATGGTATCATTCACAGTCAAGAGAAATATAAACAAATGTAAAGAGGCAGTATTAAATCATAACTGCATAAAATAAATTTTAGTACATACTGTACTGCTGTAACAATTTCATAGCCATCTACTCTTCCTATTGCATGAGCTTATGTTTTGTGAGTATCCACTTGAAACCTCTTCATGTGAGCAGTTTGTCCCTCCAGTAAATTGCATATCATGGTAAAAAGTGATTTCTTGTTGTTTGTGCATATTTTTCACTATGTTGAGTGCAATAACATAAACTTTCAATAATAACACCATGGGGCCCATACGAAATGCCACTAGTGATGCTGAAAGTGCTACTAAGGAGCAGAGAAAAGTGATGACATTAGAAAAAAAAGTTGAATTGCTTGATATCTACCATAGATTTGGTTTGCAGCTGTGGTTGACCTCCATTTCAAGAAAAAGAAATCCAGCCTAAGGAGCATTGAAAAGAAAAGAAAAAGAAATTTGTGAAACTATTGCTTCAGCTAGTCAAGCATGTGTAAAAATCTTGCACTTTTGGTGAAATACCTCTTTATCTGTTATTGAAAATACTGCTTTTTGTGGGTGCAGGATTCTTACAAGAAAGGCATACCTATAGCCTCCAATATGACTAAGAAAAAGCAAAGTCATTATATGATATCTTAAAGAATAATGAAGGGGAAGTATCTAAAGCTGGATAATTTAATGACAGCAAAGGATGGCTTGACAATTTTAGAAAGAGATTTGGCTTAAAAAATATCAAGATAGCAAAAGAAGTAGCTTCTTCTGACCAAGAGATAGTATACAAGTTTCCAAGTGCTATTAAGAAAATCATTGAGGAGAAAAGATGTCTACTTGAACAAGTTTATAATGCAGACGAAAGTGCCCTATTCTGGAAAAGAATGCCACAAGGGACATTTATTAGTAAGGAAGAGAAGCAAGAGCCAGGATTTAAGGTAGGAAGAAATAGACTAACTCTACTCTTTGATAGAAATGCAGTCAGCTTTCTAATCAAGATTGCCCTTATTTATAAAGCTGCTAACCTCTAAACCTTGAAGGGAAAAAATAACCACCAGCTGGCAGTCTTTTCATCATACAACAAGAAGGCCTGGACAATAAGTACACTTTTTCTCGATTGGTTTCATTGGTGCTTTGCTCCTGACGTCAGGAAGTATCTTGCTATTCAGGGACCTCCATTTCTACCCCAAAGACATTAAAGTGCTCTACTTGCCCCCAAACACAATATCTGTAATTTAGCCTTTGGCTCAGGGCACCATAAGGACCTTTGAGGCTCATTACATACACTATTCTATGGAAAAGATTGTCAACAGGAGAAAAACATTGTCAAGAGAGAAACTCCAGAGAGAGAACATCATGAAAGTGTGGAAGGATTACCCCACTGAAGATGCCATCATTGTTATAGAAAAAGCTGGGAAAACCATCAAGTTGAAACAATAAATTCCTGCTGGAGAAAACTGTGCAGACGTTCTGCATACTTTCACTTTCACTTGATTTATAACAGAGCCACTCAAAGAGATCATGCAAAAGGTTGTAAATATGGCAAAAAAGGTGGGGGGAGCAGGGGTTGTGGTGAAGGGTTTTAAGATATGAATCTTGGAAAAATCCAAAAGCTAATAGACAACACACCAGAGGATTAAGAGAAAATGACTGGATGGAGATGAGTGCTTTTGAACCAGTGCCAAGAGGAAGACGTAGAAGCAGTGCCAGTAAAATAAATTGATATTACACAATCTCGCAGAAGGGTTCCAATTATTCAATACTGCTATCTACTTCTTTTACAACATGGACCTTTCTATGATGCAGGCACTGAAACTAAAGGAAATGGTGAAAGAAGGATTGGTACTATATGGAAACATTTTTAGAAAAGTGAAAAAGCAAAAAGTGAGACAGAAATTATGATTTTTTTCATAAAGCTACACCAAGTGTTCCTGCATTTCCTGCCTGTGCTTCTGCCTTCTCCCTATCTGTCATCCATGAGACAGCAAAACCAACCCCTCTGATTTCTCCTCTTCAGCCTACTCAATGCGAAGATGACAAGGATGAAGACCTGTAGGAATAATCCCCTTTCATTTAATGAAGAATAAATATATTTCTCTTTCTTATGATTCTCTAAATAACATTTTTTCTTTAGCTTGCTTTATTATAAGAATACAGTATATAATATATATAACACACAAAATATGGGTTAATTGACTGTTTATACTATTGGTGAAGGCTTCCAGTCAACAACAGGCTATTAGTCGTTAAGTTTTTATGTAGCCAAAGTTACATGTGGATTTTTGACTGCATGGGGTCAGTGGTGCCCCAAAAAGGGCAACAATGTATGATTATGTACTTTAGCTACTAATTTTCTGCTGATTGTATGTAGGACAAATGTCCTTTCTCAGTCTTTCTCCCTTCCTCCTTCCCTCTCTGTCTCTCTCTTCCTTTTATAATGCTTTTCAATGTACCCTAGTTTTAAATTATAATATGATGTATCAATCTTTTCCTTAAAGGCTTATTCTTTCTATCCTGAAGACCTAAGTTATTTTCCTATGCATAATAATCTCATCTTCAGAATGTCCCAAGTTCTCATATGTACATGGCTCTGATTCTGGGATCTTTTCTGATCACCCCTTCTTCCTCCTACTCCTACTTTTCCTCCCCTTTCACCTTCCTCCCCCTCTTCCTCTTCTTCTTCCTTAAATCTTCCCAATGTGCCAATACCACATTGTCTCAATTGCTTTTACTTTATAACTAGCCAAGATATTAATAGAGCAATTATCCATACCTTATTATTTTTCTTCAGTATTATATTTATTTGTTCCGAATCTTATTTTCTCCTCAATATTTTACTTACTATTCTTGGATCTTTCCTCATTTTTATACATGTGATAATTGGTTTTGTTAACTTCAATGAATTGACATTCTGTGAATTTGACTGTAACTGAATGATTTAATAGATTAACTTGGAGGTATAGCTCTCCATTTATTTAGGTTTTCAATGTTTTCCAATAACATTTTATCATTTCTTCTTTATATCTTTTGTTAGATTTATCTCTGATATCTTATTATTACTATTACAAATGGGAGATTTAAGAGGTTTTATTTTCTAGCTGTTTGTTACTGACATATGGGAATGTAATTGATGTTCTGCGATGATTTTTAGGCAGAACATGCATCCAGCAACATTGTTGAAGTCTCTGATTAATTGTAGTATTTGGCTGTCAGTTCTCTTGGGAAAGTGTCAGTTTTATTTTATTACTTCTTATACATATTTCTATATTTTTTAGATACTATAAATATAAAAAACCTGTGTATCTGTCATCTATATTCTTATTCTTGTCTTAAAGAACTAACTAGAACCTGTAATACAATATTATATAGTATTGTTGATAGTGAGTATCCTTAGATTTAACCCAGGGAGTATACTTCTAAAGTTTCACTAGTGTCATCTTTGCTGTAGGCAAACAGGAAATTTCCTCCTATTTTTGGATAGTTTAGATCAGGCTGTATCAACAAATGACCTTAACATTTCAATGGCTTTTAAAGAAAGGTTTATGTTTTGCTTACACTTTTTCTCCCTTATGGGTTAGCTGTGGCTCTATTCCCATCACCTAATGCCAGGAAAAAAGATGATGGAGCTGGCCTTGTCTATTACAGTACCAGCTACAGGGCTGGGTAGTCAGTTCATGATGACTAGTGTGATGGCTTCTAAAGTTTTTACCTGGAGTAGAGAACACATCTCTTCTGCTTACATGTCATTAACCAAAGGAAGTTCAACAGTCATACCTGATTAAACAGGCTGAGAACATATAATCCTCCTTTAGGGATGGAGCATCATAATAAGAGACTGAAAAAATTTTGAACACTAATATAATTTCTGACAATGAGTAGATTCAATTTCATTAATAGCTAGGTCTATTTAAGTTTTACATGCACACGTATGTTCACTGCAGCACTATTCACAATAGCAAAGACATGGAATCAAACCTAGGTGCCCATCACTGATAGACTGGATAAAGAAAATGTGGTACATATACACTATGAAATACTATGCAGCCATAAAAAAGAATAAAATCATGCCCTTTGGAGGAACAAAGATGGAGCTAGAGGCCATTATCCTTAGCATACTAATGCAGGAACAGAAAACCAAATACCCCTTCTCCTCACTTATAAGTGGGAGTTAAATGATGGGAACACATGAACACATAGAGGGCAACAGCAGACACTGGGGTGTATCAGAGGGTGGAGGGTGGGAAGAGGGAGAGGATCGGGAAAAATAACTAATGGGTACTAGGCTTAATACATGGGTGATGAACTAATCTGCACAACAGACCTCCACGACATAAGTTTACCTATGTAACAAACCTGCACATGTACCCCTGAACTTAAAATAAAAGTTAAATTTAAAACAGGTTTTATAAGGCATTTTGCCCACAATTTCAAATTTAGTGGCATGAAGTTGTTATTTTCTCCTCCTTTCTTTTTTCAAACCTGAAGATGAATTATCTAAATAAAGAAGTAAAATTTCTCCAAGTCTAAAATGCCTTATTTGAAGAATCAATGTCTTTGTTCATTTAGTGAAAAGCCTTTTTGCATGACAATTGTTACCTTAGAAAGATAACTTCTTGGCATTCACCTCTGTCTTGAGTCTGTTCATAAGTATTGTGATGAATGCAGAAAAGCTAAAAACACACACTTTTTTTTCTTGATGTGAAAACTTTGCCCTTGATATTTTTGATATGAGGGCATTGGGCATTGGAATATTATCTTCCAAGACCAACATTATTATAGGGGCGGGGACAAGGAATCTGGAATGGTCCAAGGCTATGACTGATTGTCAGTGTTTAGAAAACGATATATTTTTAGAAAGAGTAGGAAAACAAATAGGAAGACATTGAAAGATTCATTTGTTAAAGAATATAGATTATTGCTATAGGGTTGTGTATACTAGTACAGTGATGTTAAGTGGTGTGTGTGTGTGTGTGTGTGTGTGTGTGTGTGTGTGTGTGAAGAGCAAGAGTTTAGAGATTATAATAGTTACCAGAGGCTCATTTGTAGAAGGCAAGTTTTCTACTGTGTCAGGCTGAAAAAGAGTCCAATCTGCTTTCATGGTGTTCCTGGGCATAATGTTCTTGTTAAGAATTAAATAAAATTTCCTCGGATTTTGTGAGGAAGATTAATGTCTGTCTTCTTGCATAACGCAGAAATGTAAAGTACTCTGTCAGAATAGAGGACCCTGGTACGGCAAGGAAGCTTCCAACAAAAATGTTTGCCTCCCAAAGACTGAGATCAGTGTTTTCCATGCTCTTCCTTCTCATCTGTTTTATTTTTTCTTCTTTTGTGGACATAATTGTGGGCCACCTTATATAATTATGTGTATTATATTAAACTTCTAGTAGAACCCATTTTGAACATTTGCCTTAAATGATTTACCTTAATTTTTAAAAATTAGGTTTCAAATCTTTTAAAGAAATTTTAAAAAAATTTTCAAACGCCATTATGTGAAAACTACTAAAATATTTGAAGGCCCAGTGGAAAAATCCCTGGAGTAAGAGTCATAGCACTTGAGCCCAGATTCTTAATAAGAACCTTTCTACTTATGGGACTTTGGCAAGTAGTATAATCTCCTGTGTCCCACTATACCCAGTGGTTAAAAATAAGTGGGTGGGACTATGTGAAATTAACTGAGCAGTATTCATTTGGGTTTCTAAAATAATTTATATCCTTACTGTATGCATTTCTCTTTAATGTAGGTCAATGTCTTCAAATGCAAGAATTGGAAGTAGGTGGAAAAGAAAAAGTCTATTCCTATAATCAAAGTCAAAATATTTTTGGAACAGCTAGCACAGTCTGTAATTCCTTAGCACATAAGTTCTTCCATTGGCTGATTTTTGCCTATCTCTCCTGTTACCTTCTTTTCTTGTACCAAGCTAGTGTACTTGTAAATTTACCAAATAAACCTCACTGTTTCATGCCTTCAAGCCTTAATACACATTATTTCATCTGCTTTTAATGCTCATCTTTATTTTATCTGTCTTGTAAGTCCTTAGTCTTTAACAGCTCAAGTCTTCTCAGTCTCTCTCATGAGCAATGTTTACTAGTTTATTTTATTATTATTATTGATTTCTATTGATGCATAACATTTGTACATGCTAGTTTATTTTGTGTCATAAATGTTATCTAGTATGTACTTCTATCATGTCCTTTATTGTGGACTTATTTATTAATTGTGGAAAAGGAGAATGCAGATAAATTCTTAGCATAACATCTAGCATGTAAGTTGTACCCAATAAGTGCTGCCCATTATTATTAAGATTATTGTTCATTGGTCTTTTGAACTTCTTGAGGACAGCTATTAGCATGGTCTATTTTTACACTTCTAACACACAGAGGCTGGCACATGGTAGATGCTCAAAAATTTTTGTTAAATTAATTATTTGAAAGCTTTAGAAGCCAAAATTCCTTCTTTGCTTTACTAACTCTGTTCATTCATTTTAAATTACTGGCTTTATAATTTAAGCATTTCAATTTGAAAGAAAATAATTAAGATTTATTTTTATTTCTAGATTCACAAACAAATGATTTCCAAAAGGAGTGACCAGAGAAAATATATCTGTTACTTCGTTTAAAATGAACACCATTCCCATAGAGATGATTTCTGATGCCATTCTAAAAGAAGACAAAGCCTTTGCAAAGGCTTTTTGTTTTTTTCTCAACATGATATTAGTTTTCTATTATCGTGTAGCAATTTGCTACAAACTTAGTGACTTAAAACAATGCTCATTTATTATTACACTGTTATGTAAGTCAAAAATCCAAGTAGACTCAGCTGGGTACTCTGCCTAGGGTCTCAAAAGGCTGAAATTAAGAGGGCGACTAATCTGGGCTTTTATCTGGAGGCTATGGGAGGCAGTCCACTTCCAGGCTCCTTCAGGTTGTTAACAGAATTCATTTCCTTGTGGTTGTAGGAGTGAGGGCCCTGTTCCCTTGCTGGGAGTTGGCTGGAGGTTGTTCTCAGCATTAGAGGTTACCCACATTCCTTGGCTCATGCCCCCTCCATCTTCAAATTTAGCAATGGCACACTGATGCCTTCTTCTGACATCCCCTTCTGCCACCAGGTAGAAAAGTTATCTCCTTTTGTGATTATGTTAGGGCTCGTGTGATTAAATTAGGCCAAGCCATATGATGTCCCTATCTTCAGCTCAACTGTGCTATACAATTGTATGAACACAGGAGTGATATATTATCATATTCATATGCTCTGGGCATTAGAACAGGACATCTTTGAGGGACCATTTTTGTATCTACCACAGCCTACCCTTTGGCTCCCACAAAGATTTGTGTCTATTCCACATGTAAAATACATTCATACCATTCCAATGTCCTCAAAAGTCTCATTCCATTATAGCATCAGCTCAAAATTCAAAATATCATCATTGAAATAATCTAAATCAGCATGAATGAGGTTCCTGGGCACAATGCCATTCCATTTGCAGATCTGTAACATTAAATAAACATTTATCTGTTCCTATCACACAATGGTGGGACAAAAACAGAATAATAATTGTAAAAGTGGTTGTTCAAATAGGAGAAAATTTAAAATAAAAGGGAGCCAAGAGTCCAAAGGCATTTTGAAATCCCACCGGGCAGACTCTCTTAGGTTGAAAAGCCTGTGGCCAATAATTCTCTGTGGTTCTCAGAAATTCTCTCCGGGCTCTTGGTTCCACACTCTTGGGCTACTTTCTGTCAGTAAAGTCATGGCGGTCTAACAACCCCTTTTCATTTGGTAATCTTTTTTCCCTTTAGCCCATGTTATAAGTATTTCTGCTGATATAGATATCTCAAATACTTGTGGGTCTCCCATGACATGAGGATTCACCCCATTAGACAGATCTCAAGTCCACAAATCATTTTGAGATATCTTTTTTCTATCTTTGGCTTTTGGTGAAATGGCTGAGGTACAACACCTTTAATCTTCTTAGAAGCTATTTGACTTGATTAAGAAGATCTATAAAGCAAATTTTTAATCTCTTGTGACTTAATATTCTTTTTGATTTAAGATTTGATCAAAGTGTTGCCTATCCACACAAATGGCTTTTTCTCTATGCTACACTTTCAAAATCAATTTCTTAATTTTAGTAGCTTTTGCTGTCAGAATAGGCTGAAAATTTCCCAAACCATCAAGTTCTGTTTCCTTTTTGTTTAACAGTTCTTCCATAAATTTATCTATTTCCTCTCATATTTTACCATAAGCAGCAAGTTAAAACCGGGCAGCACCTTTAATATTATGCTTGAAAAGCTCCTCAGCTAAATAAATAACTTTTATCATCTACAAGTTCTGCTTTCTGCATACATTCAGGAAAAAATTCTATCAAGCTTTTGGCCACTAGAGTACTATGATCCCTTTTCCTTGATTTTCAATAACATGTTCTTCACTTCATTCTAAGCCTTCTCAAGCAGTATGTTTAACATTCATGGTTTAACTAGGAGTTTGTTAAAGTAAATCTAGGCTTCATCTGTCAGGATTCTTAAAAAGTTATTCTCAAGCTTCTTTTGGCCTCTGACACTGACTAATTCCAAAGACACTCCAACATTTTGTATATTAGTTATAGTAGCACCCCACTTCTGGTACCAAAATCGATATTAGTTTTCTATTGCTTTCTAACAAATTACCACAAATAAAATGACTAAAAGCAACAAAAATTTATTAGCTTAAAGTTCTGTAGATCAGAAGGCCAGCATGCTAAACTTTCTGCCTAGGATTCTTTATGGCTGAAATCAAGGTATTGGTTGGATGGGCTCTTATCTAGGAGATCTGGAGAAGAATCTGCTTCTGAGATCATTAAGGTTGTGGGTAGAATCAGTTCCCTGTGGTTGTAGGACTGAGGTTCTGGTTTCTTTGCTGACTGTTAGCTGGGGACTGCTCTCTGCTCCTAGAGGTTGCTTGCATTCTTTCTCATGTGTACCTTCCATCTTTAGACTCGTAGTGATGTGGTGAGTCTTTCTCAGGCTTTAATTTTGTCTAACCTCCTCTCCTGTCTTTTACTCCTGCTTTTAAAGGGCCTGTGTGGTTAGATTATCTCTCTCTCTTAAATAATCTTTGTATATTGAGATGAACTGACTTAGAACTTTAATTACATCTGCAAACTCCTTTCAAAACAGAGCCTGGTTTAGTGTTTGATTGAATAAACAGAGGCTTAAAAAACTTTTTTTGAGGGGTGGGTGATCTTTAGACCTCTTCCTGCTATAACGATTACTAGAGAATTGATTTGCATAAATCAATTTGAAGTCAAGATATACAACTTTTTATTCAATACAAAGTTTTTAATCTATATTAAATGTATCCATTATAAGCATCATATTTAACACTTCTCCAGTTTTATTAATTCCATACTTCTCTTTGGACATGTAATCAACATTCCTTAAAAACTCACAGAACAATTTTTATCTTACTAATAGGTTTCCTTGAAATTGTCTCTTATGATATCTTCAATGATTTCAAAATTTTGACCTAATTGTAGAGCTTTGTTATCTTTGAATGTGAATGTGTTCTTCATATCTTAGTATAAGAAACAAAGAATCAGATTATCAAATCAGACTAAGACAAATTAAAAATTTTAGCTGCTATCACACTTTACTAATAATTTCAAATAGCATTAGTTTTCATATCAGAAGTCTGTCATTTGCATTTTTAAATATTAGTCTGGATCATCTTTTTTCTTTCATAGATTAAGGGAGAGAATATATTGCAGATCATTTACTTTCCATAGTGCATAAACATTTAAAAGATGAAATACCATTGGTGTAGTTTTCTTTAAAGAAATAAGCTTCTCCCAAATTTCTTTCTTTTTTTATTTATTATATACTTTGTGTTACTGTGGACCAGAGGCTAACTCATTCACACATGCATGTGTACATGTGTGCATGCACATGAGTGTACACACACACACACACACATATACTGCAAGCATATTGATCTTGTTAGGGGAGAATAATGGAGCTAATGAGAGGGCTTAACAGAAGTGGCATGTAAAGAAAGTGCATTTTAGGAAAAGGTAAAAAAAATGTAGACATGATGTATCCTACTCAATGTTCATTTTCCTTTTCATACTCAGAAAATTCAGATATTTGGGGTGGAGGAAGCAGCAATGTATTCAATTCAAAACGAAATTCCAGTCCCTTTTGCCAATAACAGTGGCCATGTAACCCAGTTGTGGACAATGATTTATAAGTAGAAGTGAGGCTTCTTGGAATGCTTCTTGCTAAGGGGTCAGATTCAGTGGGTGTATGTTTTTGCCTTTCTTCATTATGGATTGGTTCCAGATGTGGAGCATCATCTTATGACCACAAAAACACTCTGAGAGAAGTATTAAGAGGAATGAAGAGACTTTATCACCGACATCTACGAGCTCCTGAACTAATACCAGAAAGTACTTATCTCTGGACATCTCACAATGTGAGAAAAAACACAACATATAATTTGTTTAGGCCACTGTTGGCAGGGGGGTTGTGTTACTTGGCAGCAATTCTTCACTCACATAGTAATTCAGAGTAGTGCCTAGAGGAAATGGTTACATCACCATAATAGAGGAGTACATGAATCCTTCAACCTGCTGAAATATATTTCAGCAGTCCTACCTTATTCGTGGTTATGCTTCCAGGTCTCAGTTTCATGCAGTTAACTGCAGTCCAAAAATATTAAATGCAAAATTACAGAAATAAACAATTGATACGTTTTAAATTGTGTGTTATTCTGAGGAGTATGATGGAATCACACGCTGTCCTCTGTCTCACCAAGGATGTGAATCATGCCTTTGTGCAGTGTATCCATATGTATATGCTCCCCACCTGATAGTCACTTAGTAGGGGACTCAGTTATCAGATCGACTACTACCATATGGCAGTGCTTGTGATCAAGGTCAGTAGTAGCCTGATACCATGTCACAATGCCTATGTCATTCACCTCACTTCATCTCATCATATAGGCATTTTACTGTCTCACATCATCATGAGAAGACAGTACAATAAGATATTTTCAGAGAGACCACATTCACAGAGCTTGTATTATAGCATATTGTTATAATTGTTCTATTTTATTATCAGTTATTGTTAATCTCTTACTGTGTGCAATTTATAAATTAAACTTTATTGTAGGTATGTATGTATAAGAAAAAACATAGTGTATATAGGGTTTGGTGTTTTCTGTCATTTCAAGCATCTTTTGAGGGTCTTAGAACATATTCCCTGAAGATAAGGTGGGGACTTGACTTGTGTGTCTAATGGCATTTGTGGGTAGCAGTTGTCTGTATGAAAATGTAATCTCCTGTACTGGTCTAAAAACTCTTCAAAGGATTTTCACTCTTTGTTTCTACCACATTTTAGCAGGATTCAAAAATACGATGGATGAGTTTATGTAAGCTTTGTATTATGAGAACCAATTAAGTCAATGAGGGCAAAGAAACATTCAATTTAGATTCTTGCAGCTTGCCATGTAAAGATTATTTTTATTATGAAAGGGAAATAGGGAATAGAAATAATCTCTGATGAGGAAAAAAAAGGGCAAGGTCCTAAGGAATCCTAGTATGAATTTGCAGCTAGAACTTCAGAAGACTAAGGGGAACCATCTTCCCACTCAGCATCACAAAAGAGTGTATTCAGATAGGAGGAGCCATAACCCAGGAAAATATAAAAGACCGGTATGAAATTGTGTGGAATGTGTCAAGAGCCTTGTAGGAAATACAAAATGGGAATTTTAAAAAGTTGTATTCTGGGTAAGATCTGTTTGATGTGTATTGTAGTATGATTTTCACAGATGACTGTGAGAAGGGAAATTTTGGATTTTTATTTTGTGTTGAGTAGCACAATTGTCAAGCTGGAAAAATGCAGCAGGACTTCTTTGTAGGTGTTTCATTTCCATTTACTAACATTGATAAGAGAAGTCTATAATTGAAACTTAGTAAATTTATAAGAGAGTTTCTGATTTTATAAATTTTTTTCTTCTATTGGGAAAAATTTTGTTAGTACTTGAGTGGATAAAAAACATACTTGGATATCACTCATTCTTAGTTAATTATTAAATTCTTACTATGAATTTATTGAATTCCTGCCATGTGCCAGTCACTGTGTTTAGGGCTGCAAATACAGCAATGAACAGCCAGATCTGTTTTCTGCTCTCTGAAATTAATGTCTTCCGTGAAAGATGGGCACTGAAGGAATACTAATAAAGCGTGACCATTCTTGGGATGAGGAAATACAGAAGTAACAGAAAGTGGGAGTAGGCAGAAATCCAGATATTAGGAAATTCTGGGTACATAGGAAAACAATCATTTAGTCTAAATCTGGTAGAATGATGAACTGTGCTCCTAAAGGGAGCTTCTTATATTTGTATATAAAAACTGTTATCAAGGTTCAGGAATTTCCCTGTTTAGAAGGTTTTTATGCTCCATGTTCTAAGCTAAAATACCAACTTTTAAAATCCAACATACTTTCATTTGGTATTCATGGACTTATGAAATAATATGAATCAAATCTATGCTAAAACATGAGAAAAAATAATGGTAATTAGAATATATTTCTGTGCTTTCTTAATTTCTCTTTCTTGTTTCATAAAAACAAACAAAAAACTAATGAAACAAAGCAGAAAAAGCCAAACAACCAACCCAGTTTATTGTAAAATAATTTGTTATGATGTGTCTTCTTGCTGTGAAATATTGTTGTTTTAAAATTCAGAAGGACCTATTTTTTACTTTAGTCTACAAAAAATTGTAGTTAACAATATCATTGTCAATTTAATGAAGTTAGAATGATGCATGTAATAAAGTGGTTTTTTCTATTTCATGGTAAAATATCCTTTTTGTGCAAAATGTCTTCTATCAATATTGTTTTCCTCACAAGCCACCCCATGATTAGTATCAGTTATGCTTCATGGTACATTTAGCATCTTAAGCCATAGCCGTGCTAATTGTGAAATGTTTAATTTCCAGGGGAAGATGTCGATTTTGAATATAATCCCATGCATATAAGTTGTTAACCTGAAGTGTGATGAAAAACATTTTTTCAGGGTGCTCTAAACACTGGAAGGCGTGGAAGAGGATAGAGAGGAGGGAAGAAGGAAAGGACATGAGGAAGAAACAATGTTTATTCACTAATGACAATTCTGGAGTTTTATTAAATGTCCCAACACAAACTATATAAAAAGGCCTAGGGCAGTATGTATCAAAATTTAGCATCTGTACCATCTGAGACCTTTTAAAGAAGCAGATTCTGATATATAGTACAGGTCCAGGGCCTGAGATGATAAATTTCTAACCAACTTCCACCAAGCTGCTGGTCTGTGGAGTAGCCAGGGTTTAGAGGTATGATTTGAACTTTGGTTCACGTTAGAAACACCTGCGGAAATGGAAAAGATCTTGACACTCAGTCCACACTTCTGAACAAATAAATCAGAATTTCTGGTGCTGAGACTCAGGCTTCAGCATTTCTTAAATCTCTCCCAGGATACAGCAATGAGAAGCTAGACTTGAGAAACCACTAGTCAGAAGATCATTGTCCCTTATCATTGGCAAGAGCTGGTGTATTCACTCCAGTGGTGCTTTAGAATCACTTATAATCTGGGAGTCAAATTACTTCATTACAATAGACTGCAGTTGAGAAACCAAAACATGCACCACATTATTTAAATAAAAACATATCCAGTGTACATAGGATACTTTTGGCTTCATAGATTCTCAGAAATGTTATTGTTTCTGTCTTTGCATAATTTTGCTATTGAGTTCCTGTGTATAAGTTCATCTTGGGAATAGTGGTTAAAACAAGAAAAATAAGCCATTAGGTTTCACACTGCACGAACCTAGAGTGATTGGAAGACTGATTTCTTCACACTGACTTATCTGATCTCCATAGGGATGGCAGGATTTCAGGGAACAAAGCCTTAAATGCTGGTCCTAACTTCTCCTGTTCATTCCATACAGAGTAAGTTTCTTCTGAGGATAGTCCTTCTGACAGCCAGGATTACTCCTACTTTCCATATACATAGAAAAGTATCAATGTGAATTTTTTTAATGTAGCACTGACTGTTAGAATTGCTTTCCTTTGCTCAAACTAACTGCATTGGTCAATGTTTTTAACTGCAAGCAGCTAAAAAGGAGTCTGAGAGAATTAAACAAAAAATAATTTATTTAAAAGGATAACAGTGCATTCACAGGACCATTGGCCATCAAAAGAACAAATTCAAGGCTGAATGTCCAGGAACAATGCCCCAACCACACTGTAGAACTGTTTGAAGAGGAAATTGCTGCTGCTAGATGTTAGAATATTCCCTGCTACCATTTTGCACCAGAAACACAACACTGCAGCCACTTTGTGATTTGGGGTGGAAGATAAGAATTCTTACCACTGCTTAGAAGCAATGGATTTCTGGCAAGGCTGTATGTAGTACCAAGAAAGTTTGCTTTCTCTTCTCCGGTATCCTAAGTTTTTATTTACACCTCACTCAGAAAAATGGAAGCAGCAGTGTTTTTGTTCATGTCCTGGTGGTAGCTGATTACCTCCCACATGATGCTCCCACTGGGGGAAATGGCTCGTCCTGATCTCCTGCCTTCCCAGATCTTTCTCATGAGTACCTAATGGAGGACCATGGAAAAAACTTTGTGTGTGAGTGTAAATTACCCTTCTACCTGAGGCTCTAAGTTATTCCAAATTGTTCCATTAGCCCATACTTGGCCTTTAGGAATTTGTTAAAGTTATAGCTTATTTATTCTTGCTTACTTTTATGGAAGCGACCACGTCCTCCTGTACTCTGCCAAATGGTTCATGTGTCCACCCTCTCTTCAGAGGGTCTGGTCACACTTTGAAATTCGGTTTAGTTTGTTTTCTTACTACCTGAGGTCTCTGAAGGCTTAATAATTTTTTTTTGGTAGATTAACTGGCTTTTCTTGTTTTAGGATGACAGTGATATTCTTTTGAAGCATTCTACATTCTATGCTGAAGTAAAACCCATAGCCATTATTTTTAAAAATTTAAACATTATATTGTCTTTTTAAAAAATTAAGAAAAGAAAAATTGTCTTTTATATTTACCCACATATTTACCAGTTTTACTGCTTGTCATTTCTTTGTGTTTCAATGATTTTCATCTGGTATCTTCATTTCTGTTCAGCCCAAGGAACTCCTTTTAGCATGTTTTTTTTTTTTTGATGCAAATCTGCTGGCAACTAATTTTGCCAAAAATTGTGTATCTAAACATAGCTTTATTTTTCATTTTTTTGGAAGACATTTTACCAGATACAGAATTCCATGTTGACAGCTTCCTTTTCAAGTCACTAAATATATTGTTCCATTGTCTTTTTTCTTCATTTTTAAAAATAAAACTGGAAGTCATTTGTTATTCCCATTAATATATCTCTGTATATAACATGTCTTCCTCTGGTTGCTTTTAAAATCATTCTCTATAGCTTTGATTTTCAGCAGTTTAACTATTATGTAAGTACTTGTTTCTTTTCTCCTCTTATCATACAAGGAGTGCTTTTTAAAAATTTTATTTAACCAGTTTGAAGTTTACTGAGTGTTTTAGTCTGTTTTTGCATTGCTATAAAAAATACCCAAGGCTGGATAACTTATAAAGAAAAGAGGCTTCATTGACTCATGGTCTTTCAGTCTGTACACAAAGCATGGTTCCGGCATCTGCCTGGGTTCTGGTGAGGCCTTGGAGATTTTACTTATTGCCAAAGGTAAAGTAGGAGCTAGCATGTCACATGGCGAGAGGGGGAGCAAGATAGAAAAAGGGGAGGTCTTAGACTCTCTTAAAGAATCAGATCTTGCATGAACTAACTGAGCAATAACTCACTCATCACCAAGGGAATGGCTATAAGCCATTCATAAGGGATCTACCCCCATGACCCAAGTATCTCCTACTAGGTCCCACATTTCAACATGAGATTTGGAGGGTTCAAGCATCCAAACTATATAATTCCACCCCTGTGCTACCCCCAAGATCTCATGTTCTCCTCACTATTCAAAATACAATAATCTCTTCTCAATAGTCCCCCAATGTCTTAACTTGTTCCAACATCAAAGCTGAATGTCTCATCTGAGATTCAAGGCATGCTACTTCCACCTATGATCCTGTAAAATCAAAAACAAGTTATCTACTCCCAAGATACAATAGGGGTATAGGTGCTGGGTAAACATACCCATTCCAAAAGGGAGAAATCGGCCAAAAGAAAAGGGCTGCAGGCCTCATGCAAGTCTGAAACTCATCAAGGCAGACATTAAATGTTAAAACTCCCAAATAAACTTCTTTGACTCCATGTCCTGCATCCAAGGCACACTAGTGTAACATGTGGGCTCCAAAGGTCTTGGGAAACTCTGCATCTGTGGCTTTGCCGGGTGCAGCCTTCATGGCTGCTCTTAAGGGCTGCGGTTTAGTGCCTGTGGCTTTTCCAGGCTCAAGGTGAAAGCTGCTGATTACTATTGTTGGATGTGGAGGGCAGCAGCCACCTTTCCACAGCTCCACTAGGCAGTGCCCTAGAGGGAACTCTGAGTGGGGACTCCAACCCCATATTTCCCTTTGGCACTGCCGTAGCACAACCTCTCTGTGAGAGCTCCAACCCTAAAGCAGGCTTCTGTCTGGGGACCCAGGTTTTTCATCCATCCTCTGAAATCTCGGTGGAAGCTGCTAAGCCTTCTTCACTCTTGCATGCTGTACACTTGTAGACTTAACACCACTTGGAGGCTGCCAAGATTTACAGTGCCTTGCACTCTCCAAAGTGGCAGCTGGCGCTCTACCTAGGTCCCATTGAGCCACTGGTGGAGCAAAGCATTTGGGATGTGGGAAGCAGCCCCCTGAGGTGGCACAGATCAGTAGTGCTCTGGACCTGGCCTCCCAAAGCAAATCATTATTTCCTCCCAGGCCTCTGGGCCTGTTATGGGAAGGGCTGCCTCTAAAATGCCTTTGTGGCATTTCCCCATTGTCTTGAATATTAGCACTTGGCTCCCATTTAGTCATGCTAATCTCTCTAACAAGTAGTTGCTCCACAGTCCAGGATGCACGATTTCCAAACTTTTACACTCTGAATCCGTTTAAAATATGAGTTCAAACTTTATGTTATAACTTTGCTCTCATATCTTATTGTAGGCTGTCAGAAGCATCCAAGTCAATTCTCAAATGCTTTGCTGTTTAGAAATTTCTTCCACCAGATACCCTAAGTCATCACTCTTAAGTTCAGCCTTACACAAATCCCGAGCACATGGATACAATGCAGCCAAGTTCTTTGCTAGGGCATAACAAGGGTAACCTTTCCTCTCATTCTCAATAAACTTCTGATTTCTGTTTGAGGACTCATTAGCCTGCCCTTCACTGTCCATATTTCTACTGGCATTTTGGTCACAGCCAATTATCTAGTCTCTAAGAAGCTCTAAACTTTTTCTCATCTTCCTGTCTTCTTTTGAGCCATCTAAACTCTTCCAATCTCTGTCCATTACTGAACTTCAAAGCCACTTCCACATTTTCAGGTATCTTTATAGCAATGACCCACTCCTTGGTTGCATTTTTTTTTTATTAGTCCATTTTTGCCTTACTACAAAAAAATACCAGAGGCTGGGTAATTTATAGAGAAAAGAGGATTAATTGGCTCACAGTTCTGTAGGTTGTACAGAAAATATGGTGCTGGCATCTGCTCAGCTTCTGGTGAGGACTTTAGGAGATTTTACTCATGGCACAAGGTGAAGCAGGAGCCAGCATATCACATGGCAAGAAAAGGAGCAAGACAGAGAAGGGAGAGGTCCCAGACTCTTTAAAACAACCAGATCTTGTGTGAACCAACTGAGTGAGAACTCACTCATCACCAAGAAGATGGTACTAAACCATTCATGAGGGATTCACCCCCATGTCCCATATAACTCCCACCAGGCCCCACCTCCAACTTTGAAAGTTACACTTCAACATGCTATTTGGAGAGGACAAACATTTAAATTATATCACCAAGTTTATCAACTCTGAGGGTTTCCAATTTTCTTTTTTACATTTGGAAAAACTTGACCATTATTTCTTCAAAAGTTTTTTTGCCCTATTCTCCCTCTTATCTACCTCTGGAACTCTAATTGCACTTATTTTGTACAGTCTGACATTGTCTTATAGTTCATTGAGTCAGTGGTTATTTTATTTTTATTCCTTTGTGCTTTTGACTTGATTTTACATTTCTTGTTTCTTTCTTCTGCAGAATCTAATCTGCTATTAATTCAATGTATTTTTAATTTATATATTGTATTTTTCAGCTCTAGGATTTTAATTTTTTTGTTAGAGTTTTAAAATATCTATTGAAAATCCTGTTATTACATTCATCTTCTCCTACAATTTTCTTAACATATTTATATTGTGTCATTCTTATATAATAATTCTGACATTTGGATTATTTGTGGCTCTACTTCTGTTTATGCTTCGTTTTGATTATGGACCAATTTTACCTGTTTATTTGCATGCGTAGTGCTAACAATTATTGATGATATGTTATGGACAGTTGACTAAGTTGTCTTGCTCTGAGGCATTGAATTTTGTTCTAACAGGCAGTTAAATCACTGTCAAGTCACCTAGATCCTGTGGAAAATTTATTTAGGCTCCGTTAGGGTGATTTTTTTTTATTTTACCTTTAATCCAATGGTCATTAGTATATAGTCATTATTGTAAGGCTGACAATCCCTCATAATTTGGTTCAACTTGAACTCCAAACCCTGTTTTCCCAGAAATAGACCACTGATGAAATCACTACTCAGCAATTGTAATCCTTGTCTTGGTTCCTAGAACTCTCAAGGAATGTTTGCATTCTAAAACATAGAACTCATCCAAAGATTTAACAGGTATTTACATGCAGAGTTTAGGGCTGATCCACTTGTGGCTTTCTCATATTGAAGCAGTGTTGTTGGCTGACTGTGAGATTCGTTGTCTCATGGCCACAGAAAACTAGGATGCAGACACAAAGAGTGAGGTTCAGAGTGGAAGTTTAATAGATGAAAGAAAGAGAAGAGCTCTCTCTGCTTCAGAGAGAGGGGTCCCAGAGAAATGGGTTGCTGCTTTTGTGGTGAAGTGCAGGAGATTTTATAGATGAACTTGAGGTGGCGGTATCTGATTTACATAAGGCACAGAAGATTGGTTGGACCAGGTGTGCCATTTTCATAGGGTGCAAAAAAGCTGGCTACCCCTATCCTGATCTTCTATTATGCAGATGAGTTCTCTACCTGACCAGTGCCATGCTGCCTGTTCCTTTACTGTACATGTGGGGACAAAGAAAAGGGAAGATGGAGCCTCCATGTTGAACATAACCTGGCACTCAGGTAGCCCTTTTTTATTGGCACAGCTGCCAGCACTCCCCCATGCAAGCTTCCAGCTTGCTTATCTATGTCTGCAGCTTGATTTTTTAGGCTACTCTTTGTTAGGAAATAAATGATTTGGGGGTTGCTTTTTATTAAAAGGGAAATTCCACCAAGGACTTTGTTGCCCTCACTACCTGCCTAAATAATTTCTTTCTACCCCTTGTATCAATGTTTGGAATTTCCCTTTTTAATTCCTATCAATGATCAACCCTGAACTTTGACCTATAACCCCTATGCAAAATAAGACAGCTACTTACTGCTTGAGCTCAATCATCTATGCACAATACAAACCAGGAAGTATCCTTAAGGGAAAATCCAGTCAAATGTAGATCTCTGTTATTTAGCTTCTCTTCTTTAAGGGGCTATAGCCTCTCTAGTCTCTGCTTTCTTTTGTAGGAATGGCATTTTAAAAGCGTATTTTGAATACAAAAATTAGCCAGGCATGGTGGTGCATGCCTGTAATCCCAGCTACTGGGGAGGCTGAGGCAGGAGAATTGTTTGAACCTGGGAGGTGGAGGTTGCAGTGAGCTAAGATTGTGCCACTGCACTCCAGCCTCGGTGACGGAGTGAGACTGTGTCTCAAAAAATAAAATAAAATAGAATAAAATAAAATAAAAGTGGATTTTGAGCAAACAGTACACTTTTTATATAGATGCAAAGCACAACAATTTCTTTCCCGAATAAATAAAATAAGAGCACAATGCTGACCAAAGAGTTTTTCTTTGACATATTGTAGGCTATCAGACCAATTCCTATGCCTTTTTCTTTAAGCTTCTGTGGTTTAGACATTTTACTAAGCCTGAACTTTCAAAGGCTACAATAATCTTACCTTACTTGATTTTTGATACCATGCATAGTGTTGTCAATATGAAATAATTGAACAGATCAGGATTTGGTTCAAAAGAATTTATTTAAGTAAAAACCTAAAAATGGCCATTCAAGTAACAGAGACTTCAAAGGAATGGGGTCAATGCTCAAAAGTTAAAGTTAGTTAAGATCTTGCTTATATAGGCAGAAAACAAAGAAATTTAGTAAGATTATAACATTTTCTATACAAGGCTGGTTTAATTACACAACAATTTAATTATAGCTTTCCTTCTTTTTTTCCAGTTTAAAATTCTGTATTTAACATTCCATCTTAGGCAATGTGATAATCACGCAGTGTTTGTATGGGATAGGAAAGAAGGAAGTTCATCTATAGTGAAGATCAACAATTAAGAGGGAAGGGGTCCTCCCTGGTGCCTGTTAGTCCTTTACACCATTTTAGAAAACAATGTAGGTAAGGAAAAAGGCTAATCTATAATCAGAGAAGAAAAGGTTACAGCTCCCAGTTTACATGATTCAGGTCCCATAATCACACTCTCTTAAGTCTCAAAATATTTAAAAATTCCAACTGCTTAGATTTTGAATTACATATTTTCACACTGTACATTATAATATTCATAACTAATCACTTCTTTTCGTGCTTACTCTATTTCATGCACTATGATGAGTACTCAATTTTATTATTTCCTCTAAACTTTATAAATTATATCCATTACCATTTAATATATGAGTAACTGAGGCCTAATGAGATCCAATACATGTCCCAGGGTCATAAAAAAATGTGTTAGGACCAGGATGTAAATCCAGGTCCATCTAACTCCAAAGCCTATACCTTTCAGCAATAAATGGAATTATTTGCTAATAATTTTATTGCACAATTTCTTACAGTATGAAGACTTTTTTTCTATCTTAGAAGATTATATTTGCCTGGGAATTTACAAAATTACAGAAAATTAATACTAATCATAATGAAATACTGTATTTTATTGGATTAGGCAGGATAGCTTATCTTACATTTGGTTTAATAGCACATTTTTAAATTTTAAAACCTTTGTTTCAGTCTTGAAATTTGGCAGATAAATAAAGGCATTAAATGCATAATGGCTCAGTGGGAGGAGTATCATTTGATAGCATATGTCCAGATGATGACTGCTCAGCTGGAAGCAATTCAAATTACGAGGTGTCTTTGTCTTTTAATAGTTACCATTACCTCACTGAATAATGATTAGGAGCTACATTTTATTTTCCTTACATAATGTTATGTTGCAACAAAATTATTTATATCAGGCAACAAAATTCCCCATTTTAAGTGGAATTTGAGCATGATTACAAACATAACTTAATTTTTTATGAAACAACTCAATTATATTTTGGATTTTATGCATCTTTGCTGTTGCAGTGGAATGAAGCTGGAAGTTAGGTAGACTCTATCCTTCCTGGTGTTTCCTCCAACTCTCCAGCTTATGCCAGAGTCCCAGGATCTTACCTGGGTGTGCATGTGTGTGTGGCAGCAGTGATCTTGTCATTGCTTATCGATGACATCCTATGTCCCCAGAAACATGGCTCCTTCAGTCCTGGCAGCTCTCTGATGCTTTGTTGCCACGTTTCAGGCTGGGAGATCATTTGAAAGGCTGCATCTCTGTCTAGACATATCGTAAATTCTTTCTTTCTCGGTTTTGTTTCTTTACTGGGGTACTGTTATAAAGCAGGAATTTCCTCTCTCTTCTCTCAGGACTCCAAAAACATCTATTTCTTGATTTTCTCACATTGGTTGGTTGGTGGGTAAGAAGGAGGGAGGGAGGCTAAGTATTTTGTCTGTAAAATCAGCATTGGGCTGGAAGACTTCATGGTGGCAACTGAGGGTGAGTGGTAGCTAATGATTTCCATCTCTCTCTTCTTCCAAGTCACCTGCATTTCAACTAGTTCTGCTGCGGTTGACCACACCTTGGACTAGCCCTGTAGTTACATGAGAAAGGACAAATTGGAAGTGATATGATGCTCCTAAACAACAGCAGATAAAAGAGAAAGAAAAACAGATGCAAAAGGAGAGGAAGTTTTCAAATAATGAAATAGTAAGGGAAAAGGGGCATCTGTAGAAGGAGAGTTTTAGTGTTCAATCAGGCAGGGTATGAGTTCTGCGGTTTCCTGTGTATTCAAACATGCATACACACATGCCTAATAGAAACTGATTAGAGCATGAATTCCAATGTGCTGTAGATACTCTTTGAAGTGTACCTGCAAATAATAAAACCTGATAAGTGGCAGCTGAGAGAGCAAAGTTTCACCAACTAACTACCCATGTGCTCCACATTTGTTGTTCCCTTTGCAGTTAGATTTAGGCCATGCGTCTCATTCTGTCCAGTGGACAGTGGGCAGAAATGGTGCATGCTATATAGGCCTGACCATGTATACTTGTTTAGGACATTCTAGCCACATTTTCTGTTGCCACAGCTCCCCTGGAAGTGATGAGTAGAGATAAAGAGAAACTGAGTCCCTGAGTTACCACAAGAAAGAGAGATGCTTTGAAGTGCTCCTTAACTATCAGATGGTGATACATATCAGAAAGTGATACATAAACTTTGGTGTGTTAAGCCACTGATACTTGGAGATTTATTTGCTTTTGTAGCACAGCTATCCCATTCTAATCAGTACAGTTTAGAGGGTAAGATGGCTATTCGTTTGAACTGCCATTCTGTTACCTTGTGTCATAAAAATATTCACTGAAAAGTCCCTCTTCTCTAAAAGTGCTGTCTATTACTTCTTTTTGTTTTACCATTATAAATCATTTAGTAC
Organism: Homo sapiens; assembly: GCF_000001405.40. Classification (NCBI taxonomy): domain Eukaryota; kingdom Metazoa; phylum Chordata; class Mammalia; order Primates; family Hominidae; genus Homo; species Homo sapiens. Next base: position 122,301,675 of record NC_000006.12, on the reverse strand, counting down.
AGGACAGATTCTTTACAGGGAAACTAAAAGCCAAATTATTAGTCATTTCTGCCAATTGAAGAATGACTTGGGATGAAGGTAAAGCATGTTAGTGGAGAAATATTATTCCATTAGAAAAATAAAAGATTCATAAAAAACTTTTGATAGCATGTCTATTCCGTAAAATGAGATTTTCTCAAGATCTGGAGGTCATTCAGATAGAGGTAGTTTCTTGTCATTAAAAATTGATTTAAATGTTCTCCATTATTTTAGCAAAGTTTAAAATCTACTATAGAAAATTCTTACATAAAAGATTCATGTTTTATTATTATTTGGTGTGGCTTTTGCCCCAGACCTAAAAGATTCATGCTTAGGAGATTTAAATGTTTTTGGATATAGAAGGCCTTGGGTCCTTTAATTAGTTTACAAGGAAAAAAAATTCAATTTAGAATGTTAATATTTTTCTCTAAATACAAATTTGGATTCTCTGGTTCCCTTCCTTTCTTTTTTCTCTTCCCTTTCCCTTCCCCTTTCCTTTCTCTTCCCTTCCTTCCCTTCCCTTCCTTCATCTTGCTTCATCTATATCTTCACCACCACCTACCTCATCTCTAGCTTGGATTTTTAGGTCAACTGCTTCTGTAACAGCCTCAGAGGGGCACTGACCAGATCTCCCTTCAAGAGAAAACCAGCCATAAGGAGTGCAGATGATGGTTGTTGCCTCCAGGATTGGCCCCACATTTTGAGCTGAGGTGAAACACTTTTCTTGCAGCCCCAGCCAATGACTAATCACAGAAAGGATAGTAGGGCTTGGCCTCTTTTGACCAGTGTGGAACTCCTCTATGAATAGTCTTTGCATTGCAGCTCTTCATTGAACTGATTGAGACTTTGTCAAAGCTGTATGGCAGTCTGAGGCTCTGTTCATAAATTCTTTCTTCCTGATACCTCTTTTACATAGGTTTCAGACTTGTTTTGCAGTCTGAAACGTTTACCTCTCATAGCTCCTTCTCTTATTATCTTTCACAGACATCACCCTCAATAAATCTCTTGCAGTTTCCAACTCCATCTTGGCATCTGCTTCTTGGAGGGCCTGAACTGACACACTTCTGAATTGCTCTCCTTGTATCACTCTTTCTCTCTTCCAAATTTCTTGATGCAGCCAGAATATTTTTATGTCCCCTTGTGGTTCCATGGTTAGAATTTTTCAATGGATTCCATCTTTCATAAGACAGTGATCAAAATCATTAACACAGTGTATCAATCCCTATCAATTCTGACTCAGCCTCTCACTCTAACCTCATCTTGCCCCAGGCTCCATACTGGAGTTTCTTTAGTTTCTTGAATGTTCCCTCCTTTTCCCCTGCAGGTCTATCTGCCTGTACAATCTTCTCCCCTCTTATAACTGTCCATTAGTCATTCAGAGTGCAGTGTAAACATTTTTTCATCAGAGAAGTTTTATCTGACATCAAGATTTATATCATGTCTTCCTATATTATATTCACATAATAATATATATCTTTCCATCATACAACCTATCATAGCTGTGATTTAACATTTGTTCTGATGCATTGGTTAAAAATCAGCTCCCTCAATAGACCCAGAGCTCCATGATGACAGTGTCTGTACTTTTGTTTACTGATGTCTCTAAAACAACTGAAACAGTGAGTAACATGTAGTCACTACTAACAGCTTTTATCACATAAATAAATGAATGAAAAAATTTAGAAGATTATTCTTTATTCAAAAAACTACTTATTATAAAAGTTTATTTAAAATAGGTATTTGGACTTCAAAACTTTTAATTTCTACTTTTTTTTTCTAAATTAAAAGTGTTTTTCAACCTTCTCCTTGGGCAGAAACTAGATTGGCACAAGTGAAAAATTGAGGACATCTCCATTTCAAATGATCTTTCTCTTTTCACTTCATTGGCTGTTTGGAGAAATAGAACTGGCCCAGTGATAGGGAATCCAGAGTCTGCATTTCTTGTAAAAGACATGTAGGCATAAAAAACAGATGAGAAGTCACTGTTTTATGCAAGAGCACCTAGAAATCAAAGTTAGTAAGTGAGTTCTTACTAATTTAGTTTTGGTCTAGAAGGTGACCTTGAATAAAGTTTAGGCTGAGTTAGGAATGCGATAGATAAGGTAGATTTATTTAAAAAAAATGATTGGTAATTATTTCTCCAGATCCCTTGAAAACCTAGTTCTGGATGGAGGAAGATCCAATGCTACCTAGGGATTAAGAGCATAGACTCTGGGTTCAGTATGCCTGGGCTGCAATTTTGGATCTGCCATGTACCAGTTTTGTAATCATGGGAAAATTACTATCCTCTTTAAGCCCAGTCTCATCATCTGTAACATAGGTATAAGAGCTCCTACTTCATATGATTTTATGAAGATTAAATGAGGAACTGTATGTCTAGCTTGTAACATGGTATCTGGAACATAGTGCTAAACATCCTCAACTATTATCAATATTCTTCTGTTTTCTTGTTATTTGTCCTTTGTATTTGAAATTTATGAAATAAGCACGTGGCATTCTTGGATAGAAATATTTTTTCATTCCATTTGCTGTTTTTCTACAATTCTTCCATATGATCGATGGGAAGCAGGAGGCCTGTAGTATGGTGAACAGCGTAGAGATAATGCAGTATCATCTATAGTTAGACTGCACTCTGCCACTCACAAGCCACCTCATGATCTCAAGCATGTCCCTTAGCCTCTGGTGACTCAGTCTCTTCATACATGAAATAGAGACCATAAAAATTCCTACTTCATAGGGTTTTTGTGGATATTAAATAAGTTAATGAATGTAAAGGCCATAGAGTATGCCAGGCATATAATAATGTTTGCCATTAGCCAGACTTGACTTCCTAGTAAGTTTAAAGCTCTTTGAAGAAAAAGAACTTGACAAAAAATTGTTTTTCACAAAGCACTTACATTTATGTTGGACACATACTAAATATGCAATACATAAAGGCTTGTTAACTGGTTATTTTATATGCATAACAAAGCCTTGATTATAAATCTGAAATTGTCTGTATTTGTATACCTTTTTCACTGAGCCTAGATTTGAGTCATATTATATCTAGTACTCAGCACAAAATTTGTAGCTCATTTGGAATATGTTACATGGTTTTAATGGAGGAATTTTTATATTCCTAAGTAGTAGCTCAAATGTCCACAGCATATTCACAATCAGGCTTTGTTGTCCTTTCCTGAACTGACTCCTGGTCTAGAAATCAAATCTTAAATTAGTGGTATTTACTCCTGCCCAACTATATACATTACCCTTGAAGAAAATAGTATGCTTCCGAAAACGGACCGAAATTTCTGGTCAGGCTTTAAACAAAACTGCAATCTATGTTTTTGGGAAGTCTCATCTAAAGATAAAAAAACATGTAATTAGGAGATAGACTTCAATTTGCAGAAATAACTTTTAGTGACTGTTTTATTGAAGAATGTCTATTTGAAGAATACATAACTATTTAAAATTATAATTTTCTTAATATTAGCTCCTTTGAACAAGTAACCATTACCAGCTTAGGTTCTAAAGCCTAAACAGCTGTTCCTCACATTCTGTTTATGAGTTGAGCCAGCAGACCCCACTGTTAACTTCTTGAAAATTTTGATGTGTTTGTGTATGTGTGTGCACTGAAGACATGCAGTTCAAATTTAAATTTACAATTTAAAAAATGTGCAGATACTGATAAAGTTTAGGGAAAAGAGGTCAATATATAAAGTTTCCCAGTAGACATTTTAAAAAAAATCACAGCTGCTTAGATACAACATAAAAATGATGTAGTGCAGAATCTTAGTACCTTAGTTTCCCCCCAAATTACTAAATTACTGTTTACTGTTATTACATGGAAGGCAGGATATACAGTTGTTAAGACCTGGCATTGTAGAGTTAGGCAAGCCTGGGATAAATTCTAACTCCGGCACTTTCTATGTGTAGGATCTTGGGCAATTTAGTCAATATCATTAAGATTCAGCTTTTATATTTGAAGATGAGGTTATACAGATACCCTCATTTTATGGTACTTTGCTTTATTGTAGCAACCTTGCCTTGAACAATCATATTGGCGCCATTTTTTTCCAACCGCATGTGCTCACTTTGTTTCTGTGTCACACTTTGGTAAGTCTCATAATATTTCAAACTTTTTCATTGTTTTATATTTGTTATGGTGATCTGTGATCTGTGATCTTTGTTGCTGCTATTGTAATTGTTTCAGGGTGCCATAAAAGATGGTGAAATTAAATGCTGGATGTGTTCTGACTGCTCCACTGGCCAACCATTCCCCCCATCTCTCTCCCTCTCCTTGGGCCTTCCTATTCCTTGAGACACAACCATATTGAAATTAGACCAATTGATAATCCTACAATGCCCTCTAAGTGTTCAAGTGAGAGGAAAAATCACAAGTCTCCCATTTTAAATAAAAAACTAGAAATGATTAAGCTTAGTATGGAACACATGTTGAAAGCGGAGATGGGCCAAAATCTCAGCCACTTGTGCCAAACAACCAAGTTATGAAAGCGAAGTAAAAGTTCTTGAAGGAAATTAAAAGTGCTGCTTCAGTGAACACATAAATAATAAGAAAGCAAAATAGCTAATTGTTGATATGGAGGAATTTTAGTGGTCTGGATAGATCAAACTAGCCACAAAATTCCCTTAAGCCAAAGCCTAATCCAGAGCAAGACGCTAATTCTCTTTAATTTTATGATGGCTGAGGGAGGTGAGGAAGCCACAGAAGAAAAGTTTAAAGCTATCGTAGGTTGGTTCATGAAGTTTAAGGAAACATAAAACTCTCCGTAACGTAAAAGTGCATGGTGAAGTAGCAAGTGCTATGTAGAAGCTGCAGCAAGTTATCCAGAAGATCTAGCTGAGATAATTGGTAAAGGCGGCTACTCAAAACAATGGATTTTCAATAAAGACAAAACAGTCTCATATTGGAAGAAGATCCTATCTATGACTTTCATAGATAGAGAGAAGTCAATGTCTGGTTTCAAATCTTCAAAGGATGGGCGGATTCTCTCCTTAGAGGCTAATGCTGCTGTTGACTTTAAGTTGAAGCCAATGCTCATTTACCATTGCAAAAATCCTGCAGTCCTTAAGAATTAAGCTAAGCCTACTCTGCTTGTACTCTATAAAAAGAACAGCAAAGTCTAGATGACAGTACCTCTGCTGACAGCATGGTTCACTGAATATTTAAAGCGCACTGCTGAGACCTACTGCTTAGGAAAAAAAAAGTTTCTTTTAAAATATTACTGCTCATTGACAATGTACCTAATCACCCAAGAGCTGGAGATGTACAAGGAGATTAATGTTGCTTGCATGCCTACTAACACAACATCAGTTCTGTAGCCCATGGATCAAGGAGTAAATTTGACTTTTCAGTCTTATCGTTTAAGAAATACATTTTATAAGGCTGTAGCTGACATAGATGGTTATTCCTCTGATGGATCTGGATGAGGTAAATTGCAAACCTTATGGAGAGAATTCACCACTTTATATGCCTTTAAGAGCATTCACGATTTATGAGAGGAGGTCAAAATATCAACATTAACAGGAGTTTAGAAGTTGATTTCAACCCTCTTGGGTGACTTTGAGTGGTTCAAGACTTCTTAGAGGATGTAACTGCATATGTGGTGAGAATAGCAGGAGAACTAGGATTCAAAGTGGAGCTTTAAAATATGACTCAATTGATGCAACCTTATGATCAAACATTAATGGGTTAGGAGTTGCTTCTCTTGAATATACAGAGAATTTCTTGAGATGAAACTTATTCCTGGTAAAGATGCTATGAACATTGTTGAAATGACATCAAAGGATTTTGAGTATTTTTAAAACTTTTCTGGTAAATCATCAGCCGAGTTTGAAAGGGTTGATTCCAATTTGGAAGGAAGTTCTACTGTGGGTAAATGCTATCCAGCAGCTTTACATGCTACAGAGAAATCTTTCATGAAAGGAAAATCAACTGATGTGGCAAACTCTATTGTTGTCTTATTTTAAGAAATTGCCACAGCCATCCAGAACTTTAGCAACCACACCCTGATCAGTCAGCAGCCATCAACATTGAGGCACGACCCTCTACCAGCAAAATGATTACAATTCACTGGAGAGTCAGATGATCATTAGCATTTTTTATAATAAAGTATTTTTAATTAAGATATATGCATCATGTTTTTAGGAATGTGCACTTAATAGTCTACAATGTAGTATAAACATAAGTTTTATGTGCACAGGGCAACACAAAATTTGTGTGTCTCACTATCTTGCAATATTCACTTTATTGTGGTAGTCTTGAACCACACCTACAGTATCTCCAACTCATGCCTGACTAGGATCTCCCTCAGAAATATTTTGAGTTTAAATGGGGCAATGTATGCCAAAAGCTTAGTGCCTAGAACATAGTATGCTTTTATTTAAAGTTATTATCAATATTTTGTTAAACTTCAGAAAAGAGAAATCCAAACTTTTCCTAGAGTAATGATTAGATTTATCAATGTGAATTCACAGAGGTCCTCTATTTTTGCTCTGTATTCCTTTTTCCTCTTATATTTCATTAAACTATTTATAGAAATGGTATATAGAGAGATGGATCAAATGGCTCAGAGACAATAGAAGTTGTTTCTCTCTCATATGATAGTCATGAGGTAGGTGGATGGTCCAAGGCAGTGGTGAGCCCTGCTCAGTGAGGTCATAAGGGGTCTGGTTTCCCTTCATTGTGTTGTCCACTATTCCCTTGGAGAATGTTTCTTTTATGTAACTGAAGCTGGCTCACTAGCACCTTGTCCACATTCTAGCCTTAGGCATTGGGAAGGAGAAAGTAGAGATCAAGCAGATTCTTTCTGAGAATTGACCCAGAAGTGGCATATTTCAATTCTATCCGCATTCCAGTTCCATTCTGTTCAATCTGTGTACATTGATCAGAATGTACATATCTGGGGACATCAATCTGTAAGGGAGGATCCAAAAGATACTCTCTAATTGTGTGTGTGACCCATTTCCAGGAGAAAATACGGGAGTATTTTACTAAAGTGAAAGGGTCAGTTAGCAGCCTCTGCCCCAAATCATGTGATATAGTGCAAAAACTCTGTAGGACCAGAGGCCAAGACAGCTGGGAATGTCTTGGGTCTGTTCAAAGTAGTCATGCAGCCAAGAGATCACTGAGCTTCACAGTTCTTAGCCATCTCTAGGTCTCAGTGCTTTACTTCTTCACTGCCTAGGGTACTCCTTAATCCTTCATCACATGACAGAAGAATAGTGAACATTTATGGAGCCCTTGTTGTGTAATGCACATTTATCTTATTATTTTACATGTATTTTCTCACTTAATACTCTCGACAACCCTGCGAGGTGGCACTATTATTATCCTCACTTTATAGACAAGGTAACAGAAGCATGGAGAAATTAAGTAAGTTGTGCCATTGGAATTTTATTTCAGTCTCTTAACTCCAGAGCTCAAGTGTCTATGTGAAGAGTAGTAACTCATTTTACCCCTTGACTGAAATGCTGTACTGGTTTCCTATTTCTATGGTAGCAAATTACCACAAACTTAGTGGTTTAAAAACATCACACACTTATTATCTTACAGTCCTGGAGGTCAGAAGTCTGAAATCGGTCTTGCAAGGTTAAAATCAAGATGTTGGCAGAACTGGATCTTTTTGGAGGTTCCAGGTGAGAATCCTTTCCTTGCCTTTTCCATTTCTAGAGGCTGCTTGGTATTTCTTTGCTCGCAGCCAGAAATCTCATCACTCTGAACTTTGCTTCCATCATCAAATCTCTTTCTCTCCCTCTCCTGCTTTCCTTTTTCACTTGTAAGGACACTGTGATTACATTTAGCACCCACCAAATAATCCAGGATAATCTTCCCATCAAAATCCTTAACTGAGTCACATCTGCAAACTCCCTCTTGCCCGTAAGGTGATATATTCACAGGTTCCAAGGATTTAGGTTTGAACTTCTTTGGGGAGCCATTATGCTGCTTACTACAAATCCTTTTGAAAAGGATATCAGTAACTTATTAATCAACAAATTCTATGGACTTCATCAGGTTTTTCTACCTTTGAGCTACCTGTAACGTTTGATATTGTCTACCACATATTCTCTCTCAAAACTCTCTCCACTTTTAAGTTCTTAATTACCACTTGCCTGAATTTCTACTCTCTTTGATGACTTTTATTTTTCAATTTCTTTGCTTGCCTCTCAATGTAGATGTTTCCCAAAGACTTTAAAAATTATTTCTTCTTCTTCTTACTTTATATGATTTGCATTAGTATCCTCTTGCACCCAATCTTACAAACAATCTGTAACCAATATGTAGATAGCACCCACCATTTGTGTCCTCAAACTTGATTTTGTGCTTGAATTTCAATGCAACATTTTAAAGATGTCTGCTATACAGTCCCCTGACTGTTCTGATCTCTCCAATTCAACATTTCAAACTGAAATTGTGGTCTACTTTCTCATATCTGCTGTTCTCTCGGGCTTAATATTTTTGTTGATAGCCCTTCACCTTCTCGGTTATCCTGTCTCATGAGCTCAGAATCCTCTTCATTCTTCTATCTAATTTGTTCCTCAAAATGTACAGAGCCTAGCTGTATGTTATTCTTACTCTTTGTATTTGCTCCATTTCCCCCGCCATTCTTGCAGTTCTCTTGTTAGGTCTATCTTATTAGCGTAGCAGTCTATTTTATTCATTGCTGCCAGATTTACCTGTCCAAAGCTGAGCTCTAGTCTTATTACACCCTTCTACCTCAAACATCTTTTACAGAATTGTCTATTTGTCAGAACTTCTTTCATCTGCTTCAACATTATTTCTTCCAATATGCACTTACATACTTTTTCTTCTCACAACTTGAACTTTGTTTCCTGTTCATCACCTACTTTCCTATCTCTGCCCTCTTGCTAATAATTTGCTTTTGTCCAAAACATCTTTCCCAACTATTTACATTTATCTAAACCCAATGCATTTTTGGGATTTAGTTTAACACTACTTCTACCAGGAAACCTTCATTCATTTCTCCCTTTTTGAATTTTCAGACACTTTCCCATCATTTATTAAATTTAATATCTTTTCTTCATTTATATAGCTATTTTTGAAAATGTCATTGAAGAAAAGAATGTATTAGGTTGGTGCAAACATAATAATAAAGCTGCAATTACATTTGCACTGACCTAAATATTTGGTTCATCACTCAGTATAGGTGTTTAAGAAATACTCCTAAAGGCATGACTCTGTAAAATGGGAAAGTTGAAAAAGAGAAATGATTTTCGATTCGGAGAGTAAGACCGAAGTATCAGAGTTCTTGGGTTTCTATAATTGTTTTAAAAGGTACATTAAATATTATAAAATATTTAGAAAAATTAAGAACCTATTTTTAAAATTCATATATTGATAAAGTGCACAGTTTTTGTTATTATTTCCAAATGTTCATAGCAAATGCCCTTGTGGGTTTTGAAGCCAACTCCTTGGGTTTGAATCCTGGCCAGGCCAGGCTATAGCTAGTGAGCTATTCAACATTTTTGTTATTTATATTTCTGTACTCAAAAGTTGAGATGTAACAATAGTTACCTCATAAGTACCTCAGAGTACACACAGAATAGTAGCTGACACATGATAAGCTCCTAGTACATTTTGTCAATTATTAGCTATCATTGTCATTTCTCAAAAGTGGGCATAGGTTTAAAAGACTGAGTAGTGGAGTAGATGATCTTTATCATAACTGTGTCCCTAAACTTCTATCAGTCTAACAATAGCATAGCCCCGCCTAACACGTACCAAATAATCAGGTATACTTTAATAACAAAATCTTACTGGTATTGTTGCTGGTAGGTAAAAATAAGTACAGGATTTTTATTCAATTCACCAGTAAAGTCTGCTGACAACTAGAAAAATGGTTTATTTTATAAATAAATGGTCTTGGCGTAATATTGAAAAGGAATATACAAGACATGGTAAAAGTTGTTATACAGTTGATGAATATTATAACAAATTTTCAATTCATGGCTACAGTTAAAATAATCTATTTTTTAGTTTTATGTTTTATAATAAAAACATGTAACTAAATATATAACACTTGTTCTCAACTTTGTTGACACATTAGAATCACTTGGGGAGCTTTGAAAAAAAAAGTTTATTAACATCATAATCATTGTAACTAAAGTTGTAGCATTCATAATTTTTAAGAGCTCCTAAGGTGATTCCAATGCTCAATCAAATTTAAGAATCACTGGTATAAACACTTTGGTTTTAGGACCATGTTGACATATGGGAATGTATATAATACCTGCATATATATATATACACACACACACACACACACACATAAACACACACACACAAACAAATTTATATACAGAAATAATAAAATGCTATTCTTTAATTCTGCATGTGTGAGTTTTGCTATGATAATAACATTGATCATTATAAGGCTAACATTTAATGAACTAAGTGTCAGTCACTGTTATCAGTGCCCTGAGTACATTCCCTTATTTAAAACTCACAATACCCACAGGGAGTGTCTATTTTTTTATTTTAATGATGATGAAACTGAGGCACAGAGATGCCAAGTTACTTGTCCAATGTTATACCACTAATAAGTTGTAGAACCAGAACTGGAAAAGGAGGCCTCTAACTTCAGATTTTGAGCTGCTAATCATTTTGCCATACTGCCTATGGTAGTAATTTATAGGTTATTAATTAGGTGGTTATAAATGACAAAAATTAGATAGAGTTGAATACTGCTATGGAAATATAAAGGTTATCAGAGATCCTTACTGCTGTTTATGCATTACTTTCTTTCTTTACTTTTTTGAGATATGGTCTCGCTCTGTCATCCAGGGTGGAGTGCAGTGGCATGATCACAGCTCACAGCTACTTTGATCTCCTGGACTAAAGAGGTCCTTCTACCTCAGCCTCCCGAGTAGTTGGGACCATAGGTGCACCACCATGCCTGGCTAATTTTTAATTATTTTTGTGTGTGGAAACGGGTTCTTGGTATGTTGCCCAGGCTGGTTTTGAACTCCTGCGCTCAAGTGATATTCCCATCTTGACTTCACAAAGTGATGGGGTTACAGATGTGAGCCACTGCGCCTGGCCTATGTATTACATTATACAAGAAAGCTAATTTACTAAAACCATTCAATGTTTTAACATACTTTTAAAAATTAAATGCATCCTGGTTTAAAAGATAAAGTCTGACTAATGTGCAGAAATCTCAGAGATTATCTGGAAGGTTCTGGTAAGCAAGGAGCTTTCTAAGAGTTTGGTTTTAGAGTAATGTAGGCTGATACATCAAATCTGTTTACTACAAGGATTCTTTGTTCTTTAAATTCAAAAAAATGTTTAGTTAGGATGAAGTTCCACAAAGCCTGCAGATGGCAGCAACTTTCTTTTACTGGGCATTTGCTCCTGCTTAGCACTTTTGGCTGGAGAGTTGACTCAAATTAAATGTAGGACCACAATCTGTGGGGCTATGTCCTAAGATACGCAAATGGCAGTGTATTTTCTATTTGGCTTTCCAAAAGCAATTTTCTATTATTGATTTTGAAAGACTATCCCATGCCCTTTATTTGAATAGGGATTGAATTGCATTTGTCTGGATCTGAAAGGAAAAGCTGAGCTAAATGCTAGGCATTCTCAACAAAAGCAATATCAGGGAGCATTCTGTTATCAATCTTTGACATTTCATCTAGGCAGTTACACACTTTTTCTAAATACAGTGACCTGCATGATTTATGTTGAATTCCAAAAGCAATGATCCAGTAAATTTACTAACAGTTCCAGTAAATTTGCTTCACGGATCCCGCATCCGATGATTGCCTTCTGCTCTTGGCATTTTCTGCCTAATGTACCATATAATATGGTTCAAGTTGCAAGTTTTATTTTGTCAAATCATTCACTGGAGAGGCTAGTGAAGGCTTTTACTGTATATTAGACAAATAGAGGCCACTGCTGGTTCAGGTTACATTGCTTTTGAAGACTTTATTAGAGTTCACAAGAAAGAGTCATCCATACTTCTATTGCCCTTCAAATAAATTTACTTAAATAACTTGGATCTTCCTTATTTTCATGTTAAATTATTTACAGGCATTACGATTGCTAAATTAAGATAATTCTTTGTGATTAATACCATTCTTTGGATTGGATAACTGGTATTGATGAGAAAGGATGTTTCTGTTAATAACTTTTAATAGAATGAGAACATTAGCTCTCCAGGCCCCAAATATTTGAAACTTTCCCAGCGCTGTTTGAGTCTAAAGAAACAGAGAGAAATATTTTGCGGATCTGACCCTCCGTGGGTCGCCCCCTGACTGCCAGTCAGATAAGTCTTGGCATAACTGTATTACTCAGGCTGATTTCTGACTTTTTTTTTTTTTTTTTGGTCAGTGGGCCAGAATCCAAATAAATATTTTTGGAAGCAGGACACCTTGTTCAAAAGTTGACAAGTTCAAGTAAATATTCATGTTTACTAAGACCAAATGAGATAGAGATGAGATGAGCCAAAAACACTTACTTACGGAAACGCATTTTCTTTATATAATTGATCCTAAAGGGAGGATGAAAGCTAATGAGCTTCAGGGATTTTCCCCATAATTAGTTTTACATTGTCATGGATATAATGAACATAAAGTGATACACAACTTATATAGTAGAATGCCTTTACAATTCTGACATGTGAGGACAAGAGAAGCATCTTCTTTCTGTTGATTAAGTGAAGGAGTTTATATAACCATCTCTAGGGATATGATTTGCACTGCAAAATCATTTTATGTAAAGATGCTTAATGGAATAACTTTATTTTATGACATAACTGTCATTCAAACACTTTAAAATTGCATAAAATAAAGAGACTATCAGGATAGTCACTTTCTCTCATTTATAAATGGCTCAATGAGCCAGAGAAATGTATCCTCACTCTCTCTATCCTTACTGGCATCATAGTCAGTAACAGAACTGGAAATAGTAAGTAGCAGCAATCCAAATGAATTTGGTTTTAGTGCCAAGAATCCAACTTTCCACAGGCCATTTCTTAGAGCCGTAAAATATTATTCCCAATTTTAATTAGAAGTCAGAAACTTGAAATCTATTAACTAATTCTTTTATTCCATAAATATTCCATTACCTACATTATGCAGCAATGCACTAGTGAGCAACAGAGATGTGGTTCTTACACCCAAGGAATTTAGATGCTTTCAGGGGAGAGGGAGATAAAACAAATAATTTCAATGTAATTTAAAAAATTATAAACAAGTAATTACAAAGTAATTTAATAATTATACCCATGCTAATTGTGGTAAACAAGAAGTAGAAGGTGTCATGAAAATATTCAAAAGAGGAGTCTAACACAATTAGGAATTTTAAAAGAGTTCTTTAAAATTTATTTGAAATTCTTTAAAATAAGATTTTGACATGCACATAGCTTACATGTTTCCACTAATGAATGGGAAGCTGTACTTTTACATTGTATGTTTATAGGACAACTGTAGAACAAAATATGCAGGGATTAGGAAAAGGAAGTTAGCATGCTCTGTTAGCACAAATATGGATATATTGGTGCTGTGAGTTCTTAACAACCAATCTCTCACACATGTGAGATGGACATACATCCATTTAAGTGGACAAAGATATATTTGTCTTTTAGAAATAAATTTAACTGTAATTTAAATGAATCAAATTTGCTTTTTTGTTACTGTGTAAGATGATACACAAGACCGAACCATACAAGTAGATTGAGTTTTCCTGAAATGAACAGTTTAAGAACCTGAGAACATTTTCTAGGAAAAAGCATGTTGGATTTGGGTAAGTATAAAAATTGTAGAAAACAAGTCAGGAAAATATGTAATGTTCAGCTCTGTGTGTAGGTTTGTCCACTCCTGTGAAAATTAGAGCAGACTTGTAAAACATCAACATTCTATCCCAGAGTACTAGGGAGACGAAAAGCCATTCACGCTTTTTAGATTGAATTCTTATAATTTTCAATATATAAGTGATTTGTTAATAGGAATAGAATTTAATTTTATGAGTGAATAGTTTTTTAAAAGCTGGAAAGTTTCTGGACATGTGAAAGTGTGTGTGAGAGAGACAGAGACAACAAATATACTGGGAAAAAACACACAGAAAAGAGAAACACAATAAGATGACAAACAACTAAAATGATAAAATTTAATCCCTGAAGATGTAGATAAGCGAATTGCCCTTTTGATGCCAGAAATCTTTCTTTCGCTTTTAAAATATACACAAAAATCCTCTAACTGTCCATGTTTTAGACATTCTACTTTTTAGTAAAAATTTTTGTTTTTATCTTATATTTGAGAGTTGACATACTCTCAACTTTTCTTAGCTAAGTTAACAGATGTTTGCTTATTTCATCAGTCTTATCAAAGGCTCATTGATGATAGGTGTTATTTTTTTATTCAGAACTTTGTGGTTTTGTTTTTATAAAGTATTTCTTCATAATTTGTTCTGAAGTTTATATTGGCCTAGGTAAATTAATCTAAAATTATTCGGTTATCTTTTAAGTTGAACGTGAATTCAAAAATATGACAAACTCTATCCAAATCATTTTAATTTTTCTGCAGAACTTATTCTACTATTGCTTAATTAAGAATTTTCTCTTCTTCAAGTAAATATTCAAAAACATCATTTGCTACCTTGCTGAAATATAGTGTATGCAGATGGTTGCTCAAAATATTCAAATTTGAGAATGTTTTGTGCACGTTACAAATAATAGATGTGTTTTCTTGATATTTAACACTTGTCTAGTATATTCAAACACAGTGCTACTGATGATGTTTAATGAACTAGACTTTCTTGTGGTAAAGAAAATAATCAAGAAAAGATTTACTAAGTCTTTGTACCCATAAAACATTAATATTATTATTATGCAAAGGATAGTGACCATCTGTTCTTTATCTCTATTGAAGCCAGAATATGAGGAAATAAACTTAAACTGCAGTATGAGGTAGCTGGGTTAGAATAATTGAGGAATTTCCTGACAGGGTTGTTAAACACTGAAATGAATCAGGAAGAGAGGTTGTGAAATCTTAGCTTTTTTTCTCTATTAAATAGAATGATATATTTTTGGTGTATGTTAGTTGTTCTGTAAGCTGATAAAACTTCCTAAGGTTTGGTTATCTCTACCTATGATTTCATGAAGATGTTCTTTCAAATGTTAATGTCAGAGGGAGAATCATGAAAAATTAACAATAATTAAATAATAGTCAAGATTTATTGGGTTTGTATTATGTAGTAAGCTCTGTGTAAGTAACTTTATTTTGCAGGAACTCTGGGCATTTTTCCATTTGAATATCATAATGAAACAGGTAGTTGAGTCTACACAGATTCTGTGTGCAGCTTCTGTGTACAGATGATGGATGGCTGACACGCACCAAATAACTCAATGCTGGCAGCAGATTTGTATAACATTGATAATTCCCTTATTCTATAACAGTGATAACTCTTATTTTGAGAAAGACAGAAATATAGCATAGGAGTTGACTTGGATATGTTAATATGACATAGAGAACCTGACTATGGGTTTCATTGAGTTGTATCAGGGAACTTGCTGTTTCTAATGCTGTATTATTGTCTGTGATGATAATATGATTATGGATGCTCCTGGCTTCAGAGTTTGCCTTGAGTAATTCAGAGAGCTGAAGATAATATTTTCCTTCTAAAAGGCAGAATGCATTTCTGCAAAAGAATGAACCCCAGTGGGTGTGAAAAGTTGTAATCTGGAAAAGAAACCTACGTTTTTAACAGCTCCAGGCCTTTGAAGCCCAAATGCCTGTATCTAACTCATTGCCTTCTCTTTCTTTTCTGAAACAAACCCTTCATTTTAGGTTTTCAAAATAATTAAGTCCAAGATCTTCCTTGAGTTTGCCAGTCCTATGTGATGAGGCTTATTTTTGTATTTGTTCTGTGCTCTTTTGATTGTAAACTCTAGCAACGGGGATAGGCCTTGATTTCACAACCTTGTAAGCATGCCCAGAGGTTTCACCAATGGGAGCTGCAGTAAGTTCAGCTGAAAAAAATAAAGGTGAAAACATGAAAGTTGGCAGACAGTTTGCTAGAATCCCCTGAGTTGATGAAAGGAAAGAACGTTTCTCTTTTTTGATGAGGCTCCCCAGATACACTCATTTTCTTTAGCTATGGTTGCACTACTGTTGCTGTTCCCACGAGTTCTAGTCTAAGTTTCATGAAAATTAGAAGTCCCTAAGGTTGAGAGCAGTGAATAAGAAGTCCAGAACTCTGAGTTCTAATCGGAGCTTGCCATTTGGGTCACCAAGATTAAATTGACACAGACTGCCAAATTAAAACACATTTTCTTCATGACTTTGAAGTTGTTTCAAACAGCTTTCTATTTTTTGGTAGAGGAGCAAAAATCAAAACCAGCACATAAGTTATCTATAAGGCCAGATATTGTCATGGCCTAGATAACTCACGGAATGTAAATTAAGCACCTTGAAAAAAATTAGTGAATAATTTACTGACTTTTATCATTGTCTTCTTGACTGTGTTGAAACTGGTTTTATTTTTAAAAAATTGCTGCTAGAACTATCATTCCCATCCATGTAGGCGAGTGACTTTTGATAGTTTTTGGTTTCCAAGAGGACAGTATAACACTGTGAACATTTGTTTGGGCTTTACAGTTGATAGTCCTGACCATGAGCAGTGTGAATTTGGGCAAGCTGCACACTTTTTTTTTGCTTGATTGTAAAATGAGGATAATAACAGTACTTAGCTCATGCAACTGTGAGGATTTGAGTTGCTAATTCAGATAAGACTCTTGACACTATTCTGTTGTGCAGGCTGCACTCCATGAATGTTATTTCTTGTATTCCTGCTCTTCCTCTTGCTTCCACTCATTCTCTTCCACCCAACCTGTCTTTGAGTCCCACAGCCTAAGGAGAAGCTTTGACTCCAGATAATAAATACTAATATGGACATATCTGCCTATATTTTTATATACGTTTCAGGTAGTTCATAGAAACCTTGAAAATTATATGGTTAAGAACCACTTTAAGTTAAGTGGGGTTAATTAGGAAGCACCATTCTAGAAGCACTGTGAACACAAGCAAAGGTATAATTTCTACATAGCACTTCAGAAGTTGCTTCTATCCAACCCAACCTCACCAGCCATTCTAGCTCTGATGCTTGCTTGGCAAGGGATGTGGTTGTCCATGCTTGCTCTCATCCGTTCCTCCCACTGTGTGTACCAGTTTCAGGCACCAATCCAGTGTCTCAGTCTCTGAAAAAAAAAAAAAAAACCTCTCTTTTTCTATAGGTTTGTTGCTAGGTTCTGCTCCATTCCATGTGGTTACCTCATCATTTGGCCACAGAGCTTCCTAATTATTTCCATTTACATTTATGTATTTGTTATTCACATTTCCATTAAGTGGCTTCTTCTGTCTGCAGTGACTTGTTCTAAACTGCCACAGTCATTTGCTTGAATCTGCTACTTTTGTCATTGTTCCTAGTCTTGCTTGTGTGTCTCTAGCATTTATCTTTACTAATTGGCAAACTTTTTACAGCTAACTGAAGAGAGCTCTTGGAAACTACAGAAGTGCAAGATTTTCTAACAAAATATAAAAATAAGTGTTAATGACGTCACATAAATACCAAGTGAAGACACCAAAACAGAGATATCCTCATATCAACGTTATGGCTATGGGCGTAGACTTTATTTTAATAATCAGGAGGGAAAGGGTTGGGAGTAAGTGGCTTACACCTGTAATCCCAATGCTTTGGGAGGCTAAAGATCACGGATCACTTGAGGAAAGGAGTTTGAGATCAGCCTGGGCAACAAAAAACTATTTTAAAATTAGCCAGGCATGGTGGCTCTGAGGTGCTTGAGCCTAGGAGTTTGATGCTGTGGTGAGCTATGATCACACCACTGCACTGCCCTCCAGCCTGAGCAACAGAGTAAGATCTCATCTCTAAAATAAATAAATAAATGACAAAAACTTTAATAATAATAATGAGGTAGAGCAGATTCTACAAAGTGCATTTTTTTTTTAGAATAGCAGAATATAATTTCAAATACTTACTTGGTAATAATATAAATGTTACTACAAATCTGATCAAGTGGATGGAATTTCCAAAGATCAGGACAGAACATTACTTTGAGCATTCATGAAGAATACTCACTCATTCAACCTTTCACTTATTAACTAAATATTTGTTGACTACTCCCTAAAAAACCAGTGGTAAAGCAAACATTCATCCTTTTCTAAGAGACACACAATAGTCAAACTATTGATTCATAATGTCGATGATACAATAGACAAATTTATACTTTATATATTCAAGGTCATTTTATTTTCATTAAAGATACAATGAGATTGTAATTAGCTACATTATTCTGCTTATTTATCTATAATTTTTTTTTATTTTTAAAGTTTTTGGTAAACTTTTTACTTTGGAATAACTTTCATTTACAAAAAAGTTGCAAAGATAATACAGAGAGTCCCCATATATTCATTATCCAGTTTCTATTATGGTTACTTTTTTATACAACCATGGTAAATTTGTCACAACTAACAAACCAACATTGGTACATTACTAAACTCTGTGAATTAAAGTTTGGATTTTATTCAGATTTAACTAGTTTTCCCAACACAGGTCTTTTTTCTATTCCAAGTTTCAGTCTCATGCTATAAATTGTGCTTAGTTATGTCTTCTTAGTCTCCTATGGTCTGTGAAATCTTTATTTTTCGTGATCTTTACAGTTTTAATGGATATTGGTCAGGGATTTTGTAGAATGCTCCTCAATTTGGGTTTGCCTATTGTTTTGTCATGAATATACTGGGGTTATGAGTTTTGCCTCTGAGAATACCACAGAGGCAAATACCAACCTTATCACATTATATGAAGTGGTACATGTTATTAACATGACATCATTATTGTTAAATAGGAAAAGCAGGAACAATCAACGAATAGCGGTCTGGTTGTTTTAAGATTACTTTTCATATAAGCGTGTAAATAAAATCTTGTTGGCTTGATGGCATTTGGCTACCATCTTGCTCCATAGTCTCAGAATGTCAAATGTCTCCTGATTTTGCAGGTCAGCTATCTCAATTAAACAATTCAGATTTTGGTTTGATGACATGAAGCCTTAGCATGAGTGACTATGTTGGGCTTGCTGTTTTTTTCCTTAACATTATTGATACTGAAACTCATCACACGGCTGAGGTCATGTTTTTCAGGTTTCTCCATGGAAAAATTACTTACTCTTCTTTTCATATTCAATTTTTTAAAAACAAGTTGGTAAGTCCAGCTTACCCTTCAAGGAACAGGGGATGTAATATTGTTTTAAGATTATTTGTTCAGATAATCAGCAGAACCTTATCCCAAGGCATAAGGTAAAGTGCCTTTAGTTTCTTAGAGAAAAGGTCTAAATACCAAAAATAAGCCGGGCATGGTGGCGGGCGCCTGTAGTCCCAGCTACTTGGGAGACTGAGGCAGGAAAATGGTGTGAACCCAGGAGGCGGAGCTTGCAGTGAGCCGAGATTGCGCCACTGCACTCCAGCCTGGGTGACACAGCAGACTCATCTCAAAAAAAAAGGTATAAATATAGCTCAGCATTACTGTGGATCTCCTGCTCTTCACTGAATCACTCTTCCATGTTGGAGTATGACATTCGGAGCAGAAATAAGCATATTATTTTCTTGTCCATCACTTAAAATGAATGGGCACCAAAGTAATATAGGCCAATTTTATACTGACATAAAATGACTTTATACAAATCCTTATGGGGACACTGAGCTAGATCTCAAGATTGTTAGTCAATATATCCCACCATCATACTGGCCATATCCAGACTTGTAGTACTGTGTCCGGAACTGGTGGGTTCTAGTCTCACTGACTTCAAGAATGAAGCCGCGGACCCTCGCCGTGAGTGTTACAGCTCTTAAGGTGGCGCGTCTGGAGTTTGTTCGTTCCTCCCAGTGGGCTTGTGGTCTCGCTGGCTTCAGGAGTGAAGCTGCAGACCTTCGCAGTGAGTGTTACAGCTCATAAAGGCAGTGTGGACCCAAAGAGTGAGCGGTAGCAAGATTTATTGCAAAGAGTGAAAGAATAAAGCTTCCACAATGTGGAAAGGGACCCGAGCAGGTTGCCACTGCTGGCTCAGGCAGGCTGTTTTTATTCTCTTATCTGGCCCCACCCACATTTTGCTGATTGGTAGAGCCTAGTGGTCTGTTTTGACAGGGCGCTGATTGGTGCGTTTACAATCCCTGAGCTAGACACAAAGGTTATCCATGTCCCCACCAGATTAGCTAGATACAGAGTGTCCACACAAAGGTTCTCCAAGGCCCCATCAGAGTAGCTAGATACAGAGTGTCGATTGGTGCATTCACAAACCCTGAGCTAGACACAGGGTGCTGACTGGTGTGTTTACAAACCTTGAGTTAGATACAGAGTGCGGATTGCTGTATTTACAATTCCTGAGCTAGACATAAAGGTTCTCCAAGGCCCCACCAGAGTAGCTAGATACAGAGTGTCGATTGGTGCAGTCACAAACCCTGAGCTAGACACAGGGTGCTGATTGGTGTTTACAAACCTTGAGCTAGAGACAGAGTGCCGACTGGTGTATTTACAATCCCTTAGCTAGACATAAAAGTTCTCTACGTCCCCACCAGACTCAGGAGCCCAGCTGGCTTCACTCACCCAGTGGATCCCGCACCTGGGCTACAGGTGGAGCTGCCTGCCAGTCCCGTGCCGCGCGCCCGCACTCCTCAGCCTTTGGGTGGTCGATGGGACTGGGCGCCGTGGAGCAGGGGGCGGTGCTCGTCGGGGAGGCTCGGGCCGCACAGGAGCCCACAGAGCGCGGGGAGGCTCAGGCATGGCAGGCTGCAGGTCCCGAGCCCTGCCCCGCGGGGAGGCAGCTAAGGCCCGGCGAGAAATCGAGCGCAGTGCCAGCGGGCTGGCACTGCTGGGGGACCGAGTACACCCTCCGCAGCCTTTGGCCCGGGTGCTAAGCCCCTCATTGCCCAGGACTGGCAGGGCTGGCCAGCTGCTCCGAGTGCAGGGCCCGCCAAGCCCACGCCCACCCGGAACTCCAGCTGGCCCGCAAGCGCCGCGCGCAGCCCCGGTTTCCGCTGGCGCCTCTCCCTCCACACCTCCCTGCAAGCTGAGGGAGCGGGCTCCGGCATTGGCCAGCCCAGAAAGGGGCTCCCAGAGTGCAGCGGTGGGCTGAAGGGCTCCTCAAGTGCCGCCAAAGTGGGAGCCCAGATAGAGGAGGCGCCGAGAGCGAGGAGGGCTGTGAGGACTGCCAGCACGCTGTCACCTCTCAGTACTATTTTATGGTCTGTTTACAGTAATCTTGAAAGAGATAGAAAAGGTTCGTCCAAAGGATATAATCTTTGACCTAGGCCTAACAGCTATTTTTTTCTTCACTGTTATTTATTGAGCACTATTATGTGCTAGACCTTCCCGGTATTTTTTTAAACTCTGTCTTGCTGACGTAATAGCTTTATAAAATAGTTGTTAGTAGACTAGTTTTACAAGGAAACTGAAACTTAAAGAGGTCGATTAACTTGACGATACCAGTAGGCTGTATACAGGGCTTAAGATAAGTTTTCTATATTCCAAAGTGTACACTTTTCTACATATATATGTAAAATGTGTAATTAAAAAATTAGTTATAATAGCAAAAAGTCTGTGAGTATGGGTTCTTGATAGTTATTTTAGTAACATCATTAAGATTGCTCTATAATAATTAAGATTAATCGCCATTGTATTTGGATAAAGTCATTTGGTGATCATGATATTCCCAGATCCAAGTAAATTCTGAATATTAGTATATTGCCCAAATCCTTCAGGTAGATAAAAAATTATTACATTAAGAAGCATTCAGCTGAAGTTGGTGCTGGAAGCAATCTTATGTCATTTTCCTCAGAGTGCACATTTTCTGCTAAATTTGTTTTTGTAAACAAAACAGATGTTTTGATGTTTTTGTAAACAGTCAAGGTACAGGGAAAAATCAAATCAAAGAGCCTGTCTTGAATATTGTTTGATGAAAGTTAATCTTTTAGGCATTCAGTTCCTGATTCTCAAAAATACTTAAAATATTATTAAAAATCATTGAGTATGGAAAAACCCATAAATTCCTGTGAAGCCTTGTAAAGTTATGTTCGTGGTAGCTGAAAAAAGGGGTGAGTTATGCCCAAATATGCAGGTGAAAAGTCCATCCCCTATAGTCATTTGGATAACCCTCTCTAACTGAACATAAACCAGAATAATTGTTCACTTCTCTATACCTATACTTCTTTTAGAAATGGCTTTAAGTAGTCTCACATTATTTAAATTAATCGTGAAGTCACAATAAAGTCTGCTATTGAGAAGACAAGTGATGGTCCAGATTTTTAGTGTCTTTTCCTAACTGCTCGTCTGGAATTTTATACAGAGAGGGTGCCAGGCAAAATTTGAAGTAGGTGACATTTTTTTCCATCTTTCTCTTTACCATCTTTGTTACAGTTTTTCCTTCACTCAAAGCACTTTCTATTATTACTTAGATTCTCTTGCCAAATGGAAAAGATCTAGTCTTTAACACCTTGTTATAAGTTAGTTAACTCCATAACTTTCCCTAAAGAGTCTGTATTTTTTTTTTTTTTTTGAGACAGGACCTTGCTCTATTGCCCTGGCTGGAGTGCAGTGGCAGGAACATGGCTCACTGCAGCATCGACCTCCTGGGCTCGAGTGATCCTCCCATCTAAGCCACCTGATTATCTGGGACTATAGGTATGTGCCACCACGCCTGGCTAATTTTTGTATTTTTTGAAGAGATGGAATCTCGCCATGTTGCTCAGGCTGGTCTTAAATTCCTGGCCTCAAGTGATCCACCTGCCTTGGGCTTTCCAAGAGCTGGGATTACAGGCATGAGCTGCTGCACCTGACCTAACAGTCTGTATTTTAAGAGAGAAACCCTTAGTAGGAACCTGATTTAATGATATATTTTCATGCACAGTAGTATTTGAATAGAAAAAATATTTTGTCCAGCTGAAATGTTAAAATATTCAAAATCTATCCATTTGTAAAGTCTATCTGTGATTTATTTAAAAAATTATCTACTTTAGCTACAAAAAAGAATGATGAGCCTACTACGAGCCTGGCACTGTTGTGGACACTGGGGATATCACAGTGGTCAAATTCAAACAAAGATTTCTGCTTTCATGGAGTTGATATTGGAGAGGGAGGATACAACAATAAGAAAATAAGGCTGGGCATGGTGGTTCATGTCTGTAATCCCAGAGCTTTATGATGCTAAGGCAGAAGGAACACTTGAGGCTAGAAGTTCAATTTCAGCCTTGCTGGTCAAGATATAATAAGACATCATATAACAAAAACATTTTTTTTAATTATCCAGGGATGGTAGTACATGCCTGTAGTTCTCACTACTGGGGAGGCTGATGTAGGAGCATTGCCTGAGCCCAGGAGTATGAGGTTACAGCGAGCTATGATTGTGCCACCACTGCACTCCAGACTGAACGACAGAAGGAGACCCTGTCTCTTAAAAAATAAGCAAGAAAAAGAAAACACACACATATATATGTTAAATGATAATAAGTAAAAAAAATAAAAAAAGGAAAATAAATGGTGTGTGTATAAAGCGATGGGATTGGCAGGAGAAACTGCCAATGATGAAAACATAAATATTTTATATGTGGTAATATAAGAAAGCAAGAAAAAAAAGTGGTCTACCTTAGAGATATTTTTAATAGGTTGAGGGGAAAAGCAATAGGTTAATCCATAACGTGCTTCATTTTATATCTCATTTACGTTTTCTATATTTTTACAATAGGACCTTTACATGCTAGGCAATACACAAGCACATTCAATATGTTCTATTAGTTAATTCTTCAATAACCCTGAAACATTGGTAGGATTAGCTTACCTCTATTTTACAAGTAAGAAAACTGAGGCTCAAATACTTTAGGTAGCCTATTTAAGATCACACAGTTAATAGCAAAGACAGAATTAGGACTCAGGATTGTATGACTCCATAATGCCTGCCTGCTTTTTCATCTCTGTTACATTGCAGTCTGTCAGCTCTTACCTTTATTCCTGTCTCCACATCCCTAGAGACTTGTAGTCCAATCATGTGATGGCTTCATTCTGAAGGATTAGGCTCATTTCTGCTCTTGAACTAATAAATAAAGTAGGTTGAATCTACTACTTTATAAAAGTAGGTTGAATCTACTACTTTATAAAAGTAGGTTGAGAATTACTCCAAAGAAA
Organism: Homo sapiens; assembly: GCF_000001405.40. Taxonomy (NCBI): domain Eukaryota; kingdom Metazoa; phylum Chordata; class Mammalia; order Primates; family Hominidae; genus Homo; species Homo sapiens. The sequence continues at coordinate 122,277,455 of NC_000006.12, read as the reverse complement.
TAAGATCAGTCAGAAACAGTAACACATATATCTTTAACATGTAGCTATTTTATAATAATTATATACATGTACATTCACACATAGACACACAGATTTACTTTTTCCCTCTATTTTCCCTAAGCAATAAGCATGGAGCACCCATCGTATGAGTGAAGGTATATTAGTATATAGATAAATATTCACATGTATTTAGATGCATTTCTTTTTCTAAGAAGAGCACATAATTGTGTTCAAAATGTTCAATTGTGCATTCCACTTGTACTTAAAATGGACATTGACATCTGCAAATTCAATAGAAATTAGAGTCTATTTCTGAAGATAGTGACAAATGGGTGGACACTCATTTTAGAATTTGGCAAATTTTTCTTGGAAACTTCTGCTATCAAAGCAGAAATCAAAGAGTCCTATCATCTTCATTAATCCACTCAACAAATATTTATTGGGATTCCTTTATGTGCTAAGCACTGGATATACATGCTGCCAAACATAGTACAGACACAGTCTCTGATGTCACAGAACTTGTGGTGTAGCAGGAAACATAGAAAATTAATCATTTCAGTTCTTAAGAGTATCATGAACGGTGAAGTGCAGGTTGCAGTGAGAATGAATCACAAGGCTATGACATGGACCAGTGGTCATGGAAAAACTCCCTGTGGAAGTAGAGTTAAAACTGAGACTGGAGGATGAGTGAGTCAATAAAGTGTCCAATGGAAGGTGGGGTAGGTGGGATAACTGAAAATAGGTTGAGATTAGTATTTCAACATTCTATAGGCAACAGAGTACATGGTGAGTGTGGAGAGTAGACAGATTAGAAACTGATCCTCTTATGTTTTATAGTCCATGTTAAAGTTTTTTTTTTTTTTAACCTTATCCTAAGGAAAATAGGAAGTTAAGGAAATGTATTATGGGTAGAAGACGTGACATCTTTACTAGGTTTTTAAAACCTTCAATTGCAGAGGGAAAAGTGGATAAAATTAGAAGAGAGAGAATCAGTTAGGATGACATTCCAGGGATATGGGTGAGAGAACCTGCTGGCTTGGAGTAGGATTGTGTCAGTGCTGATGGAGAGAAATAGAGGGATAAGAGAAACAGGAGGCAGAATTGACACAACTTGGTGGTAGTTTTGACATCTATTATACTCAAAATCAGCCTCTTTGGCCATGGTCTGGGAAAGAGCTTAAAAATCAAGGGCATTGCTGGATATCAAAGACAAAGATGTTTCTTAGGGAGCAGGTCTCTGAGCCCCTTAGGGCAAGTAGGCAAGTAATTCAACAGCTTTTCTCACAACTATACTTATTTAAGGTGACTCCAAATGAGCCTAATCAACCTTATAGACATTATTGAATTAACAGAAGGACATGATTTTGAACGAGATAGAGTGGCCAATATGACGATTTGATGCCTGCTAAAAACTACATTTTCTCAACTTTTGGAAAGAGATGCTAGCCTCTGGACCAGCTTGGTACCATAAGAATTAAATAAGCCTTATAAGATAGGTAAGTCCTCAGCTGGATCTTAAATCCCAATCCAGTAGACTGTGTGAGAAGGCAGGCACTTCACTGTGGTTTTTTGAAAGATATTTTTTAACCTAGAAAACTACCAAACTACCCAGAACAATGTGAAGAGTTTCTGAACAGCACGCCTGTTGCAATGTGTAAAATTAGACTTTCTGTTACTCTTTTGCTACAAATTTGATTTGGACATCAACCTTTTGATTGATGGAACCTGACTACTCTACTGAAGGGATCTGACAACTTCCCTTTCTGTTGATGCTTTACCTGTTTCTGTAGAAATGACTTGCAGAAAAGTGGGTATGGGTAATAGCATTCTCTTGAAAATAAGTTCTCGCACAAATGGGCAGAGATACAAATCTCATTAAAAAGCCAGTGAAAATTAGGCTACAGGCCAAGAATGACTGAGGGATGATATTAAAATAAATGAAATAATTTTTGCTTTCCTTTCATTTGCCTGGGGATCTGTTTTCCTATAGTTACGAGGTATATTCTCTTGGTTTAGTGATTTGAAAAGCAATGACAGAAGTTTAGAGATTGCCTCTGAGGGATCAAAATGTTTTTGAGATACGAGGACAGAACACTAAAAATATGATGGTCTGAATACAATTTTTGCAAACCAGGTGAAATCAGGAAAGTGATTTTCAATATTATTCTACAGCAGAGAACTTGAGGTTTTATGGACCATTAATTCCAAGTGTTTATTCTTATATACTTTCTTCATTTGCCTCTGCTTACTTTCTCACAAAGTCAGCAAACCTGTAAAACATCCCATAGTTGTTCATCTTCTTCAGATATGTGGTTTAATGAGCTGACAACAGACCATTGAGCTCTTTAGTTAGACCAACGCAAACCTATTTGTATTCTTTATACTTTTGGGGTGAATATGTAGAAGGATTTTTAACCCTATTGTTCTACTTGAGAAATTCTCATACATATAATTAGTGATGGATAGGCACTAGCTAGATTCAGCGTACACAGAGGTAGACTGAGAGGCTCATGCAGTAGTTTTTATAAATGTTAGAATGTAGTTGACCCAAAATGCTGCCCATTTTCTGACTCCCATGCCTTCAGCCCCACTAACATATGTTTAGTTTGTAGTATTTAATAGTGCCCTATAATAATCATCATATGATTAATGTGTCAGTGTGTTGTAATATCTCTTTACATTTGTAAAAATATTATGGTTCTCTGAGAAGAAGATGTTACACCTTAAATATCAACCCATTAGCAATGATTAATTTATCTGACTATTATCATCTGATGTTACAAATTTCAGTGTAGGTCATGAGAAAAAATGTTAATTTTTGTTTGGCAGAAAAGAGTAACGTCAGAAACTAGAGTCGATCTCATAATGAGGGTGTTGGAGCTGGGCAGTGGGAGAACAGCATGCCAACACTTGTAGGATGAAGTTCTAACAAAATGTCGGTTGGGCAAAAATCACAAAGGCAGGAGTGTTGTAGCATATCTAGCAAAGGCAGGATCTTTGGAATCTGACGTATCTGGGATAACATCCTTGTTCTGTCACTTAGTAAATGTGTGGCCTTGGGAAAGTCATTTAATGTCTCTAAGCCTTGGTCTCCTCATCTATATAACAATCATAGTAATGATACCTAATCACTGCATTGTTGATGAGCATTTAAGTGCTATTATTTTTAAATTGCTATTAGTATTATTACTATTTGGAAGTTTAAGCTGTTTCCATTTAATGGTAGGGACTGGAAAATAGCACGGATGATCAAAGAGCTTTTCCTAGGCATGGAGAATCCCCTGATAAACAGTATTACTGTGAAGAAAACAAGATATAGTTAACTTAGGTGATTCAAGAAAATAATTTAGGGGTATCACTAGGGGTTAAAGGTAGGATGCAAATAGTTAAGCACGTATTTCTCTTAAAAGCATCATTTTTGTATCATATTCCCAGGCAAAGTATGAATACACTGATGGCATTTGCCATGGTTTCCAGCTACCTTAGAGAACTAAGGCCCATCATTCAATTTTATTTGTAGGTGAAATCCAGTTCTGCTTGGAGTAGCAGAAATAAAAAAGACTTCATTTCAAATCCTTGTTCTTAGTCATTTTATAGATTTATAATCTTTGGAAAATCACCCGAGCTTTTTAAAAAAATCTATAAAGCAGTAATAATAATAATACCAATCTTACAGAATTGTTATGAGGCTAGAATGATGTAAGATGGAAATGGCCTTTGCAAGCTAAAATGAAATATAAAAACTTAGCTTTAAAAATAATTTTATAGGCAATGGACTACACTGAAAGAGTCAGTGATCTACAAAATATTGCAATTTTTCCAGCCCTTGGCAAAATTGGAATGTGCTATACACCTTTCCACATCACTCCTTTTTTTTTTTTTTGAGACGGAGTCTTGCTCACTGCAAGCCCCGCCTCCCGGGTTCACAGCATTCTCCTGTTTCAGCCTCCCGAGTAGCTGGGACTACAGGCGCCTGCCACCATGCCCGGCTAAATTTTTTTGTTTTTTTTGTAGAGATGGAGTTTCACCGTGTTAGCCAGGATGGTCTCGACCTCCTGACCTCATGATCCGCCCATCTCCGCCTTCCAAAGTGCTGGGATTACAGGCGTGAGCCACCGCACCCGGCCCACATGTCACTCCTTCTAAGAGACCTGTCCATATCACAGGGCCAATTTCCCATTGTTATCCCTTATGGATTAATTCAGCTGATTTCAGTTGCCAGTAATACAAAACCTATCTTAAACTGGCTTAAGCAATACACTCACATAAATAAAAAGCCAAAGACAAGTGAAGGTTGATCCAGTGGGTTATCAAATGCCACCTAGGACCCAATTTCTCCTGGCTCTATAATAGTGGTGTTACTTTTAATCTTTAAGATCCCCGAATGGATGCTGGTAGCTCCCAAGATTCTATATGTTCTTGTTTATGTCTATCATGTAAAACAGTCTATGTGCCAATATTCTGACTGTAAATATTGAGGCTTTCAGGTTTTATCACTTGCCCAGCTATGGGCCAAACCTTATGGGCAAAGGAAAGGAATGCACTGAATTAGCTGATCTCAGGTCATATGCTTCCCTCTTAGATGTGAAGGTGGAGTCAGCTTCATGATAAATACATGAATCTGAAAGTTTAAATAAGGAACTATTTAAAAGGTAAGGGGAAGAATAAGCAATGGAATGTTAACCACAAAATTTCTACTACACATTAGCTAAACAAAGCCAGAGGGAATGGCTCTCTAAGGAAAGAATTTCTGAGATTAATGTTGGGTGTTGCGGTGGGGTTATTGGGAAGAAGTGAAGCAGGGATTTCCTGATGGTATAAGACCACCCAAGAGGATATTTTATGGATTCATGGGCTATCTGTATGGCAAGTCATAGAAAGCTCCAGCCCAAGTATGAATTTTAAGTTTGGATTCTGCTTCTATGGCTTTCTAACTGTGTAACTTTGAGTAAATTGCTTATAATCTGTAAGCTTCAATTTTCTCATCTGTAAATTGAAGGCAGTAGTAATAATACCTACAAGGCTGCTTTGAATAATAAGTGAGATAATTCAAATAAAGTGTTTAGTATAGTTCCTGGGACACACAGAAATAGGGAGTTAATACATTTTAACCTACTAGAATTATCTTCATGCACTTTCACTAGAAGTTCCTGAGTAGGCTCTAAGCCTATATCATTTATATGACAATTTATGAAGATGTTTAGCCATAGTATTCAGAGAGTGACCTCCCCTCTTCTATTGTATCATTAATTTGCCCATTCTTGGAGTAATGTCCTTATGCTAGCTACCATTCTTGAAAACTATGGAAATCCATCATATTTAGGATAACCATTTAACTCATCATTCAAACTAGGACACCTTTGGTAATGAGAGGAGGCACTTAAAACAATTAACATGTAATAATAGATCTAGGGTATAAACTAGAACTAATTCAGTTAAACTAATGATATTGAAAATTTTTATGTAAAATAACTTTAGAGTAAAATTGCTTAGGGACCTAACAAAGGCAAAAAGTTCTAAAAAGAAGAGATGTTTTCTCTTTTTTAATTCTGTACTGTCAGTGAAAACTATCCCAGTATTAAGCATTTTTGATTTGTTATTTTATTCTATTTAAAATGTTATTATAAGTGATTCATATATCCACATAAATATTATTGCAGATGTATTTTTCTCTTAATTTGAGTTCATTTGTAATAAGAAATTGAACCAACCAAAATACATTGGTATGGTTATACTTAAATATAACTACACTTTAAAAATAATAAAGCTGATTAACTTTAACTTTCATTCTATTGTTGAACAATGGATATGTTAGTCTGAGCTTGGAGTCAGTAGTGCATTAATATCAAATTTCTGATTTTTTGAACCATTAGGATTATTTACTTTCACATGTTTTTATTTCTCTATGAGTTAAATTGAATTTATATGTCTGACAGCCACGACCTCCATAAACACTTTTAAAATAATAAAGCTGACTAACTTTAACATCTTTTGATTATTGACTTCAGAAAGAGGAAAATATAATTATCTTTCACAGTCTATACTAATACCTATATTACTTTCAATGTCTTAAGTGGATAGCTAAAAATTCCAATGTTAGCATAATTTACTAGCTAATTAAATTATAATTTGTGTTGTTCCAAAATGATTTAAGAAATAGTAAAGGAATATCTACATTTAAGAGTACTAACGATTTAAAATAATTTAAAAGAAGCAAAAAGAAGGTAAAATTAAGGAAAAAAGATGGCCACTGGAATGATGAAAGAATATAAAATTTAGCTCATGAATTTATATCCCCTTGGTAGAAGAAGTATATAAATATATCCCTAAGCTTTAGCAGTCAAAAAAAAGAGGGAAACGTAATGAATCCAAGAGTCAGAAAGTCCATAAACTAAAATCAAAACCACTAGCCACTAAGAGCACAATTCTTCCTATATGGACAATAGAGAAAAATTTCTTCCCGACGAATACACATGCTATGACTTCCTATTTCTCCAAGATAAGTAATGTTATTTGCTTCATGATACCAGATAACAGTATTTTTCCTTGAGCTAGTAGTTCCGATACTAAAATATTAACAATTTCCTTTATTTATTTATTTTTCTTCTTTTTGTTATACTTTAAGTTTTAGGGTACATATGCACAACGTGCAGGTTTGTTGCATATGTATACATGTGCCACGTTGGTTGCTGCACCCATTAACTCATCATTTACATTAGGTATTTCTCCTAATGCTATCCCTCCCCCTGCCCCCACCCCACGAGGATCTAGAACTGGAAATACCATTTGACCCAGCGATCCCGTTACTAGGTATATACCCAAAGGATTATAAATCATGCTACTATAAAGACACATGCACATGTATGTTTATTGCAGCACTATTCACAATAGCAAAGATTTTGAACCAACCCAAATGTCCATTAGTGATAGACTGGATTAAGAAAATGTGGCACATAGACACCATGGAATACTATGCAGCCATAAAAAAGGATGAGTTCATGTCCTTTGCAGGGACATGGATGACATTTCCTTTATTTTTAAAAAAAATTAATTCAAGTAGCTTGCTTGCATACTGTTCATGTAATAGTTTCATGTTTTAATTGTATGCTTCCTATATCTTATATAAAAATGTGTGCAGATTGCAATGTGAAGTAAATATTAACTTTCATCAAATTGTTTAACAAGGAAGCACCTGTGAAAGGCACAATATTTTAAAATGCAGACTTTAGTTCTTCCCACGTAAGTATATTTAAAAAAAATTTATAGGCCATTGTAGCCTTCTTTCCTATACTAGACACCATTTTTCTTATGTCAATAGCCTTAAGATTTTCAAATCTTAAGGTATGTTACGCTATAAATGGTGGTCTGAGGGGACTAAAGGGAAGGGAACCTTGGCCTGTGGATCTGGCATCTGTGGGCGTGAGATAGATTGTCCTATTTGTGTGACCACGGTTGGCTTCTAAAGTAAAAATACTTTGGTGAATTTGAGTATGACATAAAATGGACTTTTAACATGCATGCTAAAATCAAGACTAAATAGTTTTTATATTTATTTATTTACATAATTATTATTTATTAGAGACAGAGTGATATGGTTTGGATCTGCGTTCCCACTCAAGTCTCATGCTGAATTGTAATCCCCAGTGTTGGGGGCAGGACATAGTGGGAGGCGATTGGATCATGGGGGTGGCTTTTCATGGTTTACCACCACCCCCCTTGGTGCTGTCATCACAATAGTGAGTTCTCATGAGATCTGATTGTTGAAAAGTGTGTAGCACTCCCGCCCCCTCTCTTGCTCCTGCTCCTGCCATGGGAGACATCTCACTCCCCCTTTGCCTTCTGCCATAATTGGAAGCTTCCTGAGGCCTCCCCAGAAACAGAAGCCGCTGGGCTTCTCATAGAACCTACAGAACTGTGAGCCAATTAAAACCTCTTTTTCTATAAGTTACCTAGTCTCAGGTATTTCTTTATAGCAGTATGAGATAGACTAATACACAGAGTTTCTCTCTGTTAACTAGGCTGGAGTGTAATGGTGGTGTGATCATAGCTCACTGTGATCTCAAACTACTGGGCTGAAGTGATCCTCTGGTGTAGCTGGGACTACAGGCACCACCACCACCACACCCAGCTAATTTTTAAATTTTTTTGTAGAGAGAGGGTCTATCTTGCTATCTTGCCCAGTTAGGTCTGGAACTCCTGGGCTCAAGCAATCATCCTGCCTTGGCCTTCTAGTGTTGGGATTACAGGCATGAGCCACCATGCCTGGCCTTTAAACAGGTTTTAAAAATTATAGTAGCACAAGACGAATTGGAGAATGGGCAATCGTGGTAAATTTGAAATAGAAATAACTGTTGGAATTTAGGGACACCAATAAATATCCCTATCCTCCTCTGGGTTTGAAACTAACTGAAATATAGATCAAGTTCTGAGACATAAAGATTAAAAAAAAATGAATTTGTGGGTACCATGCTCACTATTTGGGTGGTGGGTTTAACAGAAGCCCAAACCCCAGCATTATGCAATATACTCACAAAACAAACCTGCACATGTACTCCCTGAATCTAAAATCAAGTAAAATAAAGAGAATGCACCTTGACCTGTGGGCACAATCAGGGCTCCAGAAATGTACCACTGTGAATTAAACTATGATCCTTCCCTGACTTTGATAAGCTTGCTATGAGATATGTAGTATGTGTCCTGAGAAGTGGGTACTCCAAAAAGGGAACTCAAAAGAACTGAGGATATATTTGGCTTTATAAAGCAGAAAACTCCAAGTAACAGAGGCTCAAACAAAAAGAAGTTTCTATTGCTCTCATGTAGAAGAAATTTGGAGGCAGGCTGAACCAGAGCCAGTTTTGTGGTGCTGTGGTCACAGGGGAGTTGGGCTCCATTGCTTATGAGTTGTTTGACTGTAGAAAATTACTTCCTGTTATAAGTCTCAGTTTCCTCATTTATAAAATAGGTGCAGACTTGCCAGCATTATAAAGATGGTAAAATTAAATAAGAAAACTTATATACGGCAATCATGAAGGTAGGCGGTGCATATTATTTAACTTTCAGAATTATAGACAAAAGTAAGAAAGTAAAAAGTCTCTAGATTAAAAAAAAAAAAGCAAAGATGAAACTAAAGTGACAGAAAATAGAGCAGCAATTGCCAGGGATTAGAGATGGGATTGACTATAACGGACCATGGGGAAAACTTTTGAGAGAACGAAATTGTTATATATCTTGATTTTGTGGTGGCGATTATGCAACTGTATATATTTGTCAAAACTCACAGAACTGTACACTAAAAAGGGTACATTTACTGTATGTAAATAAGTTTAATTTTAAAAATGAGAAAAACACAAAGTAGGAACATACAAGTTTGAAGATTCTATTGATTCATAGGCATATCCTAATGCATGCATAAATTGTACACAGAGATATACCTTGAATAGTTATACATTTTATTCTTTGATGTGGAATAAACATAATTTACCTGAAAGACAGAATCATAGATTTTAGATCTGGAGAAAACCTTGTAAATCATATAGACTAACTGCATTAAAAGCTAAGAAACTTGAGGCCTATCAAGGTGAGATGGTGGGAAAAAAAAGAGCATAAGCTATTTCTTTGGTTGCAGAGTGGTATTTAAAATCATGTTTTCTAATTTGCAGTCTTGTGCTTCCTGCCACATCATAATTTTATGTATTTATTTATTTATTTGTTTGTTTATTTTTGCGATGGAGTCTTGCTCTGTCGCCCAGGCTAGAGTGCAGTGGCGCAATCTCGGCTCACTGCAAGCTCCACCTCCCGGGTTCATGCCATTCTCCTGCCTCATCCTCCCGAGTAGCTGGGACTATAGGCGCCTGCCACCACGCCCGGCTAATTTTTGTATTTTTACTAAAGCAGGGTTTCACTGTGTTAGCTAGGATGGTCTTGATCTCCTGACCTTGTGATCCACCCACCTCGGCCTCCCAAAGTGCTGGGATTACAGGCGTGAGCCACTACGCCAGGCAGGCCCATAATTTTATTTTTTAATAAAAAATTACTTTTTATAAAATGAAAAAATTAATACTAGCATTTCAGTTGCTGGGCACAGCACAGGATATTAAAGCATTTATCACTATTATGAAATATAAGCTAAATGGAAATTATAGATATATTTGAAGTTGATGCTGAAGTTCCTATAGTCACATGAGCACTAGAGTACCTATGTCATTTTAACTCTATGTGTGGTTGGGTGCCCACACTTTATTAAGCAATCTCTATAGCTTGGGTGTAAAAATTCTGGACCAGATGTGAAAGACCAGCATCCCATCTTAGCTTCACCACCAGTCATCGCTCCAACCTTTGATAAATCTTATGCTCTTGAGCTTTTAATTTCCTCATCTGGTTTGGACTAGCTCAGTGCTTTCCAAACAGTTATTAAGAGATCCCTTTTACAAACAAAATCTCAAACTAAACCCTAATATGATAAAGATAAAAGAAAACTTTTCCCTTTCAAGCAGGGAGGGGAGACTCTGGTCCTTCCCACTCAGCTTCCTCTCCCCATCCCACTGCAGGCATACCTCAAGCCAATTCTTGAGTTGTAGGGTGCCAGAATGCAGTTTTAAAACTCCTGGAGAAGATCATCTTTAAGGTTATTTTCTCTCTGGTTTTTGAGACCAAAGGTAAAAGTTATTTTTTCCCTTAGCTGTAAGATTGGAAGTCACAGATATTATGTGAGACATTTTTGATGCAATTGTACTTATTTCATTGAAAGTTTAATCTTTGTCTTTGAAAAAATGAATTAAAGAACAAAAGAGAAGAGTGACATCTTTGCAATAAATGCAGATTGTAGAATATTGTCAAAAACCTTAAATCAGTGATAGAAATGTGTGCATATTGGAGCTATGGTACCTTGGACTAATACTTCCAGCAACATTGCTAATGTAGTTTTAGTATATCCAGCATTATTTCAATAGGACAGTTTGGGAGGACCTGTCAAATGCCAGGAAATTTGGTGAATATTAGTGAAATAATACTTTCTATTGTCTGATTGCCCTTGGTCAAACACATGCAAAAAATGGATAGTAAGGAGACACATGAATATGTGTTTTGTGGTGGTAATAAAAAAGGTAGAATAAAATTCAGTGCAAGAACACAGTGAAGAGAAACTTCAAATAATGTTGATGGTATAATGAAATGATGAAAAACAAATGTCATGGAGCTAAAGGGTAGCAGCCTGGATACTCCAGGGTTGTTTAGGCCCAGTTGCTCAAGTCACTTACCACAAAATAGCTTTTGCTTGTTCAAAAAGAGGAAAAACACTGATCTCTTAATGGCCTTTGCTACATATCTGGGAAAACTGTCACTGCCAGCAACGTTTCAATACATATGAAAGTGGTAGACTGGGGTAGGTACAGGGAGTTCCAATTTAAATAAATGTCTGCACTTTTTGGATACAGGCAAGAGGTGCCAACAAAGAGAACCCAAAACACAGTGGTTCAAGCAAAATAGATGTAAGAAACCTGGAGGAGGCTGCTGAGTCAATCAGGAGCCCCTATTCTTTCTGCATTGTTGCTCTGCTATTCCTTAAATTTGTCCTAGATTGTCTGGTGGACACTGGCTCAACACTAAGTTTATTTTCTAGACTGTGAGATGTGGGACAGAGAAGGAGAGGGCAAGTGATTTTCTCTTTTAAAGAGGGGAGGCTGAAGTTGCAGGTATAATTCCAGTTAAAATACCATTAGAAAGAAACCAGTCATCTGATCACACATAGCTGCAAGAAATGCTGGGAAATGTGGTCTCTCGTTGAGTACCTACCTCTTTAAAAGGAGAAGAGTGTTCCTTACAGGAAAGAAGAGAGAAAGGGGATGTGTAGATAAAAGTCTCTGCCACTGCATGTAAACCCATTGTGTAATGAAATTTCATTTTGCAATACAGGATATAGTTTCATGATAATTTAATAAAATAAATTGAGAGCAAATGAAAAGAAACATTTGCGAGGGGGAGGTAGAATCACTTACTTTGCAGCATGATCATTATAAATAGAAGGCAATAAAATCCTGATGCTGATGTTGTCTTAGTTTAGAGTCCTTTTGAATCATGTTCAGGGTGCAGGACCCACTTCCACTGAAATTTGTCAGGTTCTTGTAGTTTAGAGAGCAGCTGGTTAAGTCTTTGCAAAATTTGATGAAGATAAAGGAAATAAATTTGGTTTTATTTTCATCAGACTTCTTTGACAAGATGATAATTATGCAACATCTGCAGAACTTTTCTTAAATTTTCATTTTATTCAAATTCCAACACATCAAATTCCAGTGCTTTTTGAGATAACAGGAAATAAATTCAATCTATCAGGAAAAGTCTGTGTGTTATCAATATTTTACTATAGGGATACTCCCAGTACTATCAACTTTGGATTAGAAGCCTAGAAGTTGTATGTCCAACTTGGCACTAACATAGGGTGCCCCTGAACAACTTGCTCCAAGCTTTTGACATTTCTTTTGCAGTATAGCTAATGATATGTATTTAGTCTATGAGAAATTTTGGTAAATTAAATGAACTTCGTATGTCAGAAGTCTTATCTGAGAGTTAAATACAGTAATTTTATGGGAGTTTTAGTAACTTTTTTGGGTCAGATTTAAAAACAGTAATAAATGCCACAAACTTACCACTCTCACAAAGTCCTTTTCTCAAATTCCTGAGTTAGACTCCTACAGAGTCACACTGTTTGCATTTGAAAGATCGTATGCTGACTTTGCCTATGGAGCTTTTGCTTAGAGTTGAGAACATTTTTGCAGCTGGGGTGAACCTATAGCTTGCTGGGGAAAATCAACATGAAGCAATTGATCACTCATCCAAAAATAAGAATTCTAACAGAAAGGGGTGGTAACTGCAAAAAGAGCATGCTGGCATCAAATAAAAAATATGTAGGAACAAAACTTCTGCTGATACAGAATGGTTTAAAAAATAAATTCTTTGTGTTTGGGGCTTATTTTTCTTTACTTTCTTATTAAACAGATTAATTTTGTTTTCCTGAATAAAAATGAATCATATTTTTGAAGGGCTGAAATCCTGCTGTTTGTTCTCCATATGAGATTATCATGTGGAATAACATGGCATGCTGCTCTGGAAATTGCCTATGGGATGTCTTAGCTTCAGATCAAAGTTCTGCGATTGAAAGTTAGAAAAAGTAATTCTTTTTTGTTTTTAACATTTTTGTTTTAATTTATTTTTTTAATTAACAAATAAAAATTGTGTATTTTTTTGGTATACAACATGATGTTTTGATATATGTATACATTGTGGATTGGCAAAACCAAGCTGATTAACATATGCATTACCTTACATATGTATTCTTTTTTTGTGGTGAAAATACTTTAAAATCTACTCTCAGCAATTTTCAAGTATACAATACATTGTTATTAACCATAGTCACCATGACCTCTATTCCTATCCCCTAGAAATCACATTTATTGTGTGCTTCTGTGAGTTCTGCTTTTTTAGACTCTATATTTGTCTCTTTGTGAACAACTTATTTCACTTAACATGATGTTTTTTCAGGTTCATCTGTGTTGCAAAGGACAAGATTTCCTTTGTTTTTAATGCTGAATAGTATCCCACTCTGTGTGTGTGTGTGTGTGTGTGTGTTCGTTTGTGTATAAAGCACATTTTCTTTAGCTGTTCATCCATTGAAGGATATTTAGGTTAATTCCATACCTTGGCTACTGGGAATAAAGTGTTGATGAACATAGAATTACAGATATCTCTTCAACATATTGATTTCATTTCCTTTGAATTTGGATCATATGTTAGAACTATTTTTAATTTTCTGAGGAATTACCATACTGTTTTCCATAATGGCTGTACTAATTCATATTCCCATCAATGGTGTGCAAGGGTTTCCTTTTGTCCACATCCGCCTCAGTGCTTACTATCTCTCTCTCTCTCTTTTTTATAATAGTCATTCTAATAGATGCGAGAAGATAATTCATTACAGTTTTAATATGCATTTCCCTGATGATTAGTGATATTGAACTTTTTTTTTAATCTACCATTTGTATGTCTTCTTTTGAAAAATATCTATTTAGGTCCTTTTCCCATTTTTTAAATTTGGTTTTTTTTTTAAATTGAGTTGTTTAGTATTTTGAATATTAACTCCTTGTCAGATGTATGGTTTGCAAATACTTTCTTCCATTTTGTAAGTTGTCTCTTCAGACTCTTGGTTGCTTTGCTTTTTAGTTTGAAATAATCCTATTTGGCTGTTTTTCTTGTGTTGCTTGTGATTTTTGAATCAAATTAAAAAAAAATCTATGCCCAGACCAATGTGATGGAGCATGGAGATTTTCCTCTAGGTTTTCTTCTGGTAGTTTTATAGTTTCAGGTCTTGTGTTTAAGTCTATGATCTATTTTGAGTTGATTTTTGTATGTGGTGCAAGATAGGGGTTGAATTTCATTCTTCTGCATATGGATATCCAGAATTTCCAACTCTACCAAAAACTGTTAGAACTAATTAATGAATTCAGGAATATTGCAAGTTGCAAAATCAACAACAAAAGTTAGTAATGTTTCTACACACTAAGAATAAACTATGCAAAAAAGAAATTGAGAAAACAATCCCATTAATAATACCTACAAAAAATACTTAGAACATTTAACCAAGGAGGTGAAATATTTATATGCCAAACTATGAGACATTGATGAAGGAAATTGAAGAAGATGCAAATAATGGGAAGATATCCCATTTTCATGCATTGGAAAAATTAATATCGTTAAAATGTTCATGCTACCCAAAATGATCTACAGATGCAACAAAATCTCTATCAAAATTCCAAGGACATTTTTTACAGAAATAGAAAAAAAATCTTTAAAATTTATATGGAACCACAAAAAATCTGAATAAAAAATAACTTTTGAAGAAAAAAAATAAACTGAAGGTACCATACTACCTAATTTTAAAACATACTAGAAAGCTATAGTAATCAAAACAGTATTGTATTGGCATACAACAGACACATAGACCAATGAAACAGAAAAGAGAATGCAGAAATAAAGCTATGCTTTATGGTTAATTGATTTTCAACAAAGATGCCAAGAACACACTCTGGGGAAAGAACAGTCTCTTCTAGAAAGAGTATTTCTTAATAATTGAACATCATGTATTCACAGAAAATTTTCTAGTAGTTGAATAAATGAATAATTATAAATCCAAACAATCATTAATTTTTCTACAGTTCAATAATTCTTAAATATTTGCTAAAATTTGATCCCAGTATATAGACTAAATCTGCAAATCTATGTCCTTAGTAGATATTTTCAAAGCAATAGATAGAATGTAATTTAGTAAACATTAAAAACTGACCAAATTTCTCTTTTCTCTTTATTGTTTGGCATCATGGGGACTCCTTCAAATTGAATTTTTATAAAAAAAATTTTATTCATTTTGTTAGTATCTATTGAGTCATATCTAGAAATTACTATTTTGATTTGTACATTCTCTATCAGCAGAAAAAGCTGGGAATCATAAATGGGGAAGTGTAACTCTATTTCCTAGCAACCAGAGAGCAAGTTTGGTGACATGAAATAGGTGAAATTGTCAGTTCTTAGAAAAATGATGAATTTGCTCTGTGTTTGAAGACAAATTTTAATCTTTTCAAAGAATTGATTTACCTTACTTTTGTTTTTACTATTCCTTAAGCACTGAAATTTGTCTTTTTCATAGACAAATCTGTTGCTCTTTTGATTTCTCCCACTGAATTTTACCTTAGTGTCCTTTCTACTCAAAGTTAGTAAAAAGTCACTGGTAGATATTTGTTCAGTATATATTTATGGGGTACAAAATGAGGTTTATGACTTATGAATACAATGTGGAATAATTAAAGCTAATAAACAGATTTATAAACCCAAATACTTATCTTTTTTTGTGGTGAGAACATTTGGAATTTGCTCTTACTCATTTTGAAATATCAAATTATTTTTAATTAATTTAGACACAATGGGTATATGTCCTTTAATTTTCTAGGTTGGAAATTGCAAAAATGAGGTATGTAATAGAGTTTTGTGAACTTTAAAAGTCTGGAAACTCAGTTTAAAGTAGTGATTTTTCTTTGTCTAAGTCATGTATCTGAGAATATTATAAGTATGACTTTATTTTATTTAAAGTAAAGCTCAGTTAGTTTTTCATGATAACAATGATTTTCATAAGGGAGAAAGAAGAGAAAAAGTGTATGAAGGGTCAACTCCCCAAAATTTTTAATCTAAATGATTCAAAGTCGTATAACTTTTTAACATGATCTTAAGCATTCAAGATTTATCAAGGGCTTCATATTATAGGCCTGAGAACAGGACATTTTCCATTACTTATCTTCGAAGATGATCTAATGTTTTGTCTTGTTCCAAACAAATATATACAGAGAAAAAATTGGAAATCTCTCATAACAAACCCCACATGTAGTTATTGCTAAATCTCTTAAAATGAAGCATTCATATTTTTTATTATGAAATTATAGCATCCTCTGATTAAAGAATTCAAAACAAATGTGTAATTCTTTACATGACTTTCTGATTTCATATTGCTTATTTCAGGGTGAAAATGAGCAGACTGTCAAGTTGATCAGTCATGATGAAAACAACAGTGGCAGCTCAGCCTTTGATTCATTTCCAGTGGTCATTATTATTCAGGCATGGGGTGGATTACAAATGACCGCATCTTTCCACATTACAATCATTAAAAAAATTAAATGAAACTTGAATCGCTTTGTAAAATCCGAGGATGAAGAATCTATAGTTAAATGAACGTGGTCTAGAAATGAACCTGGGTTTTTAAAGTTAAATAATCAAAAAGGTTCACTATAGAAAGATTAATTATCAAAACATTCTGAAGCTTCATGGGCTAATCTTCTGTGAGTTGGAGAACTGTTTTGGGTTCTTTCACAAAGTTTCCTGTTAGTTTACACTGACGTTAAATTGTTAATGCCAAGGACTTTTCTCAGCATTTTAAAGGTGAAATGGAAAATATTGCATCAATTATATGAATGAACTCTGAGGGATCACTGTAGCTTTTAAGTTTAGAAAGCTGAAGGAGTCCAAGACTTATAAATGCCTCATTAGAGAGGATCAAGGGTTTATATCTTCTAATTGGTTCAGAAGAGCTTCTGGATTTTTGTCATCTAAATGGCATCAAGCTTTGTTAAAGCTTGATTGACTGCTCAATGATTAAAAATCATTTTGATTCTGAAATGTTCTTTTATAAATTCAAAAGCGTCGAGACAGAGTAAAATAAACCACTGCATAGTTATTATTAATCATTTAGTATTATATGAGTATATTTCTTCAGTTAGAGATAGCTGATTTCTATTAAATACTGGAAACATTTTATTTCATTGCCATGTTATTGATGAATGTATTTAAGAATATTTTACAGATTTGAATTATTGTGATTATCATCACCTTGACAATGTTTAACTCCCCATAATTTGACCAGGAGCCTTTCAGAAATATTTTGAATCTGTGTAACTCTCTGGAATGGCCTTTCTTTCACGTGTTTGAACTTTGAGCATCCTGCCAAGGGTGTATCCCTAAGGAATTCAGCCTTGTAGTCTCATCTGTATCTTCCTAGTGTTCCTTGAGCTAGGGTTCCAAAATTCTATTACCAGGAAAAATACCAGATGCAGTGGGTCACACTGGCATTTGAAAATGACACATGAGTATCAGTCACAGAAACTGCCACTTTGAATCTTATATGAAGGGTGAGAGAATAACAATCTGGAAAACACCAGCCATTCATTTTCAGGCAGTCCTGCACATTTTCTAAGAATTATTCTATAATTTCTCTGTAGTGACAAGAATAGCAGTTCATTAGGCATCCTGTATAATAAAACAGTAGAGTCTGGTAGCTCATGAAGTATGTTTTTTGAACTTATAAGACAATATTTAACAGCAGCTGCTATTACTATGTTGAATGTCTCAAAATCTTTCTTAAAACATGAAGCTTAAATGCTTCAGCTTCAGGAGTTTTTCCGCTGACAATTTGATGTTTTGACTTTTATTTCTCAAATTGATTCTTAGAGATTTTGTTGAGCTTCTTGGCTGAATAGTTTTCTTCAAGAAGAGCTTTTACATGGTTTCGGATTTAGGAATATTATACATACTTTCACTTTATTTGATAGGACTTGGTTTGTGATACTTAAAAACTTACATATTTATAATAAATACAATTTAATTGTATGGAACCATGGATATGCCATCTCTTAGATATCAGGTTGTAAGGCAAAGGCAAATGGAGGCACATTTTGTTGATGTTTGTAAAGAACCATCATTCCAGCTAGAAGTAATGCTTTAAGTTAATGACTGCAAAACTAAAAGGCCATTGAGAAAGCACAGGCTTGATGACATGACACAAATGTGCCAAGCCAATGAAATAACATCGCTGCACACATAAAGTCTGAACGTTTGAGCAGGCATTATCACAGTTGGTAAAATTGCCATAGCTGAAATGATTAGAAGGGATTATGGGCAGTCCAGAGAAATAAAATTAAAATGAAAGGACTATAAACATTAGGATTTAATCCTGTGGTCCCAAAACAGTAACCAGGCAAAATCGTGAAATTATTGTGGGGAAAAATAATTTATCTAAAATGCATGTGTGTTTTTTTAGTACAAGCCCCAGAATAATAGAATGGAAATAGGCCTACCAATGGAAAATTGTTGACTTGAAAAACCAATACATACTGTGTAATGCGCGAACACTATGTTTATGTAGTGATAGTTAACACTAGACAACATTTGAGTTTTGATTCAGGTAACGAGATTTTTATAATTTATATTTCAAAAGAACAGGGGCAGGCAAAGAAGCAGAAGGCTGACCCACCTAATTTTAAGTTTAGTCAATTTTGAAAATATCTGTTTAATATTAAGAAACAAGATTTAAATTTATTGAAAACATTTAACTTATAGCTAGGTAGCTGTGACTGTAATAGAATTATATATCTTATTTTTGCTGGGTATTTTCATCTAAACAATATTTATAAAACCTGTGGTCAATAGCAAAGAGTTTCATTTGGAATTATTTCCTCATTATGTATTTGTACTTTCTTAAGTAAGAAAAATATTCTAAAGTTAAGAGACATTTTGTACAGTAGGAAGCTTGGTGAGAATGGACATTGCTAGGATTTTAGAGATCTGTGTTTGAATCTGATATCTGCCACTATTTGTGTGATCTTGATAAGTCTTTAGCTTTTTGAACCTCAGTTTATTCATTTGAAAGTGTTTGATTGGATCTCTAAGGACTCTTTTTGTTTGAAAGTTCTGTTTAAATTTCTCATGATTTAGAATTGCTGACTTTTCAACATAAGTATGAAGGCATGACTTTTTTTTTTTTTTAGTAATTCTTAAACTATTAAGAGAAAACTTTCAAATAGTTGGATGTGTCTTGTAAGTTAGGGAGAGAAAAGTGCTTCATTACTTTGCCTGCCTTTACCTCTATGGTCCTTATTTGGACTTAATAGAAGCAAAGAAGTTTTTATAAACTGGCTCATCTCCATTTCTTTCCTTGAGACAGATAAGAACATTAAGCCATGCATGATTTATTTTATTTTATTTATTATTATTATTATTTAAACCCAGGTATCCTTTACTCTCCAAAAGGTCAGGATTATTTGGCCTTCTATCATTTGATATCTCCAGATATATGTTGTTAGGAAGTCTAGATAAACAGTGTAAAAAAGCTTTAGGACTATATATGAGAACTGAAGAAGATGTAGAGGCCAAATGAATCAGAAACTTAAATTCCAGTGAAAGATATGGGCCCTTGTGTCCCTTTTTGGTTAAGAAACATTATATTATCTTCAAGTCAAATGTTAGGTATAATAAGTTTGTAGGACTTGAAAGACAAACTTTGTTTTGAATTGGATTGGGACTGAGGTAAAGGAAATTAAATGGCCAAGTTTGATTTCTGTGGGAAACAAGTCTGATTCTTAGAGCCAAATTGGACTCAATGAGAGAAATGAAAATATACATTTTTCTCCTGATTTATAGATCACTGAAATTTGATGAATGATCAATTGCTAGAAAAAAATGCTAAGCAAAGAAAAAATTCCAAGTTTCATATATTTTGAAAATGATATTCTAATTTGTCAAATTTATCAGTACATAAAAGAAGCTATTTAGACTAAAAATCGAGTGAATTCTTACAAAATGATAGGTAAATCATGGCCAAGAAAATGAATGCTGTTGAGAATAAACAATGAGATAAAAGCCCATTAAAATATGAAGCCTCTAAAGAAGGCAAGCCACATAAAAAAAGAAAAAAATGTTTCCAAACCACAAATAGGATATTCCAGAGGAAAATCTCAGCAGTGCAGTGAGAGTGATAAGTCAAAATATGACTGGTAGATTTTTCTGCACATTTTTTCAGTAAATTATAAGACAGTGACCCATGTGGCTATTGGAATATTTTTATAAGGAATTTTCCCAGTGTTCTCAAACTGTCAACTTGACTTATAGCTAATAAAATTATAACTTTGAGAAAATCCCACTTTCCAATAGTAGGAGTAAATAAATACTTCGAAATAAAATACCATTTTTGTCTTTTTATTGCTTTGTCCTGAGTATATATTGTTGGCATTATTCTAGATGTATTAAAAAAACAACTGGGCCTTTCAAGAGTCATCTTTTTTTTTTCTGAGAAGATGAATACAAATACCTCTTGGAACACAAGTCGCATGTTTTGTGCCTTCTGTACTATAGTATTGCCCCAAGTTATATGAACCGGGACAAAACACACTTTGTTGGAATCCTTCAAATTTGTGAGAAATGTAAGCACATAAAAGAGACCTGTCTATGTCATCACACTATTCTGTCTGTCAGAATATTTAATCACCATCATGTAACCTATCTTCAGATACTAAAATTGAATGAATGATCAAAAACAGTTTTTAGCTGACTCTGGAAGTGAAGATGTTTGTCCAACTCTTCCTCCTAGTTGCTTCTCTGTATTCAGGAGATAGTAGCAGTCTGACTGTAGAGGAGTTTCATATGAACAGAATATTAGCCTGTGTGATTGAAAATTGACCAATTTTAAATCCACAGAAAACTTGGGTAAAGAAATACAAGAAATACAAGCATAAAGCCCTTTGAATCCTTATTATCTGATAGCTACCTCCTCAAAAGGACACCCTAAGAACAGTTCTGTAACATACCAAAACTTATGGGATGCAGCAATCCTTAGAGGGAAATATATAGCTATAAATGCTTATATTATGAAAGATCTCAAATCAGTAACCCAAACTTCATCTTAACTAGAAAAACGAGAGCAAAAAAAAAAAATAAAAGCCTAAATAAAGCAGCAAGGAAATAAAAATTAGGGCAGACATACATGAAATAGACAATAGAAAAACAAACAAGAAAATTAGCAGTACCAAAAGTTGTTTCTATGAAAAGGTGAACAAAGTTGACAAAACTTTGGCTAGACTGATCAAGAAAAAAGAGAGATGATTTAACCTACTAAAATCAGGAATAAATCAAGCTAATTAACAAATCTATCATATATCAAAATCTCACATTGTACTCCGTAAATATACACAATTATTACTTGTCAATTAAAAACAAAAAATAAAAATAAAGATACAGAAAAAAATGAAAAAGAAATAAAAGAGGAAATATTACTATTAACCCTACAGAAATAAGAAAGAATTATAAAGTAATAGTATACACATTTGTATGTCAACGCAAGAGATAACGTAATGAAATGAACTAATTCCTGGAAAATGTAAACTACTGAAACTAATGCAAGAGACAGTAGAAGTCTTAATTGACCTGTAACAAGTAAAGAGATTGAATTAGTTAAAAAATAAATAAATAAATAAAATAAAACAGAAAAACCAAAACCAAACCTTTTCACAAGAAAAGCACGGGCCCAAATGGCTTATTTGGTTAATTCTTCCAAACATTTAAAGAAAAGGTAACACCAATTTTCACAAACATTTCCCCAAAATTTAAGACTAGGTAACACTTCCTAACTCATTTAATGAGGCTAGTATTACCATTTTAACAAAACTAGAGATGTCACAAGAAAAAACTATAGACCAATATATCCTACAAGCATAGATGCAAAAATCATCAGGATAATGATAGCAAACAGAACCAGCAAAATAAATTTGGATTATACATGACAACCAAGTAGGATTTAGCCCAGAAATGCAATGTTGACTTCACCTGCAAAAATCAAATGATATAATATATCATATTAGTATGTTATAGGACAAAACCCACCTAAAATTATCTCAATATATACCGAGATAGCATTTAACAAAATCCAACAATCTTTTAAGATAAAAACACTCAACACACTAATATTGTGTGTTTTAACTTTCTCAACCTAAGTGCTGTTTTTTAAAACACTCAACCTAAGTGAATGTTTTAACTTTCTCAACCTAAGTGCTGTTTTTAAAACACTCAACCTAAGTGAGTGTTTTAATTTTCTCAAACTAAGTGCATCTATGAAAAACTCATAGTTTACATCATAAATTATAAAAGACTGAAAGCTTTTCCACTAGGATCAGGGACCAGACAAGGATTTCTAATTTCTTCGCTTCTATTAAACATTGTAACGAAGGTTCCAGTTAGAGCAGTTAAGCAAGAGGAGAAATAAAAGGCATTCAAATTTAAAAGAAAGAAAATAAGCTATCTCTATTAGCAAGTGACAGGTGTATTGCCTACAGAAAATCCTAAGGAATACACACACACAGTTATTAGAGGTAATAAACGAATACAGCAAGTTGCAGAATACAAGATCAATATATAAATATAAATATCAACTGTATTTTCATACAATATCAATGAAGTATCCAAAAACAAAATTTTAAAAAGAAATTCCATTTACAGTAACATCAAGGAGAAAAATGTACTTATGAATAAATTTTAAAAATAAGTTTAACACTTGTAAATTAAAAACTACAAAACATCGTTAAAATAAATTAAAGGAGATTTAAATAAATGAGAAGACATTCGATGTTCATGGATCAGAAGATTTCATATTGTTAAAATGGCATTGTGCTCAAATGATATATAGATTCAATATAATCTTCCATCAAAATCCCAGCTGTTTTTTTTTTTTTTTTTTCCAGAAATGGACAAGCTGACCTAAAACTCACATGGAAAAGCAAGGGACCCAGAGTAGCCAAAATAATCTTGAAAAAGATGAAAAGTTGGAGTACTCACACTTCCAATTTCAAAACTTACTGCAAAGTCACAGTAATCAAAAAAATGTTATATTGGCACAATAATAGACATACTGATTGAGGGAATAGAATTCAGAGTACAGAAATAAATCCTTAAATTTGTAGTCAATTGTTTTTGACAAGGTTGCTAAGAAATACAATAGAAAGAATATTTTTTCAACAATTTATGCAGGGACCATTGTATACTAACATGCCAAAGAATACATTTGAACTCCTGTGTTACATCATATTCAAAAATTAACTCAAAATTCTTCATAAACCTAAATGTAAGAGCTAAAATTATAAAACTTAGAAGAAAATAGAGGCATAAATTCTCGTGACCTTGGATTAGGCGAGGTCACAAATATAATACCAAAAGCACAAGCAAAAACAACAAAATAGGTAAATTAAGCTTCATCATTTGGAAACTAGCATCCAGAATACATAAAGAATGCTTACAACTCAAGAATACAAAAAATATAACTCAGTTAAAAATGGGGAAAGGGGTCTTCTCCAAATAAAAAATACAAATTTGCAATAAGTACATAAATAGATGCTCACATCATTAGTCAATAGTTAAATGCAAATCAAAACCACAAGAAGACACCACTCCACTTTTACTAGAATGGACAATGAAAGTAAAATAGATGAACAATGAGAATGTTGATGGGGTGTGGAGAAACTGAAACCCTCATGCAAGGAATGTAGATCCTTTAGTAATAGTTTTTGTTTGTTTGTTTTTGTTTTTGTTTTTGATACGGAGTCTCGCTCTGTCACCCAGGCTGGAGTGCAGTGGCGCGATCTCTGCTCACTGCAGGCTCCGCCTCCCGGGTTCACGCCATTCTCCTGCCTCAGCCTCCCGAGTAGCTGGGACTACAGGTGCCAGCCACCATGCCCGGCCATTTTTTTGTATTTTTTTTTAGTAGAGACGGGGTTTCACCATGTTAGCCAGGATGGTCTCGATCTCCTGACCTTGTGATCCACCCGCCTTGGCCTCCCAAAGTGCTGGGATTACAGGCGTGAGCCACCGTGCCCCGCCATTTTTTTTTTTTTTTTTTTTTTAGATATAGTAATGTCTATATTTATGCCAATACTTCCCTCCCTTCTTTCGTACATTCCCTGGTTCCTCTCTTTTTGTTTCTTCTCTTCCTCTTCTTTCCTTTTGGTCTATATTTAATTCAATTTTGGAATCAAAATATGCTTGCTATAATAGACTAGAGAATTTTTCTTTTCTATATGATAGAAAAGTGATGATAATTATAAAGTATTTGTTCTTTAAAGTTGGAATAAAATACAGCTATAAAAACTACACTGATAAAAAATGTATACTAGGCCTTTGTATTTCCCATCTCTTCTGTGATTTTTAGCTTGGTCTACTTTTTCTTAAGTAATTT
The DNA here is from genome assembly GCF_000001405.40 of Homo sapiens. Taxonomy (NCBI): domain Eukaryota; kingdom Metazoa; phylum Chordata; class Mammalia; order Primates; family Hominidae; genus Homo; species Homo sapiens. The sequence goes on along the minus strand of NC_000006.12, from coordinate 122,252,875 downwards.
TGTTTTGTTTATTCTTTCTACCTCTTTTCTGTCTCTTTCAACTTCCTTTTTTCTTTCATTAATGCTATTATCTTTTTGTATTTTGGTTTATTATGTTATTTTTACTTTTTTCCTAAATATTTGTTATTTTTATTTGATAATAAATTCATTTCAGCTATAAATCTTTATCTGAGCCTTATTTGAGCAGCATCCCACACATTTAGTGTGAGGCTTTAAATTATTTTCTGGATAGTTTGTAATTTCTGTTTTTCTAAGTCAGAAATTTTTCAATTTATATATTTTGTATTTTTTATATAAAATTTTATTAGAGTATGTTTAAAGAATAAGACCTATGAAATATCTCCATTTAAAAATTTTTAGAATTTTAAGATTGTGACCTGTTATAAAGATAATGCATGTTTTTAAGTTCTATGAACATAAGAATGTATGTTCTCTGCTTTTAATGCTTATATGTACGAACAAAATATATACATATACCTATAAAATATAAATGCTCCATAACTTATGGTGGGGTTACATCCCCATAAACCCATGGTAAATTGAACATAACATTAAGTCAAAAATATGCTTAACCTATTGAATGTCATAGCTCAGTCTAGCCTATCCTAAACTTGCTCAGAACACCTAGCTTACAGTTGGCAAAACTGTCTAGCAACACAGTAACACTGTAGAATATCGGTTGTTTACCCTCATTATTGTGTGTCTGACTGGCAGCTGTGCCTCGTGGAGCTGCCCAGCATCTTGAGAGAGTGTCATACCGCATATTGCTAGTCCAGGAAACGATCAAAATTCAAAACTCCAGTCATAGTATCTAATGAATGTGAATCATTTTCGCATCATCATAAAGCTGAAAACTCTCAAGTTGAACCCCTGTAAGTTGGGGACTGTCTATATTTTGAATCAGTTAAATTGATTAATTGACCAATTATATTCTTAATGATGTTTTATGTTATAATGTCTCCCTATTTCTATGCATTAGCATTAAATTTCACTTTAATATTAATTATCTCACTATTGATATCTAATATTTACTGTATAATTGTGATTTTGTTTGCATTCTTTCATTCCTTTATTTTCAATCTTTCTTTGTCACTGTTTAGGGTATAGTGTTTGAAAACAACAAAAAGCTGCTTTAAAAAACTAGTTGGATTATCTGTTATTCTATCTATTTATTGAAAGAGCTGGAAATACTTGTATTTCTTCTGATCTCATTTTATTTTTACCATTTTTTTGTTTTAGCTGTTTTCCTTTGCTTCTTACATATTTGGAAGTTGTATGCTTTTCAGTTTTGCTGGTGGTATGTAGTGCATTCACTCATTACCAAATTAAAGGCTGATAAGTTGCCAACCATTGAGGATATATACTGAAGAAGAGAAATAGGATGATTGCCGCCATGAAACTTATATTGTGTAGTGGGAGTAGATGAAAAGCAACCAACTAACAAAGAAGAAATAATTAAATAAGCAAGATAATATTAAATAAGCACTATGTAGAGAACTCAGATAGAAAAGCATGACAGCAAGTGACTGGAGGCTTCTTAGAAGTGGCCTCTTGGTTGTGCTGTCCTTCGTGCCCCAATGGGTGACCCTTGAGGGAGAGGAAGGCAGCAACACGATGACGATCTTAGAACTCCCAGTGCTCTTTCCTTTACCTTTCTAGGTAAGTTTAGACAAACACACATACACTCACACACACATACACACACACGTAACTTTTTATTTTTTTTCTCACTTTAACATAAGTACATATGGAACTTATATTGGGAAACCAGAAAACCTGTGTTTCAGTAAGACTAAATTTTGTTCCTTCAGTAAAACAGAATGCTTTTCCATTTTGATATTTCATTAATTTTGTTTTAAGCAAAGAAATGAGTTGATTAAAAGTGAAAAAAAATGACAGTAGTAGCATTTTGTGGTAATACATTTATTTCATGTCAAATTAAATCAATAAAATATATGAAGATTATATTGAAATACTTTCATCATTTAGTTGGGATTTTTGAATAATGCTTTAAAGAAAATTAACCATAAGAAGAATTATACTATGGTCACAGAAAGCTGATTGATATCACAGTTCTGTTACAATAAAATATTTTTATAATCTATTTTAAGAGAGAATGAAATATATTAATATAAAAGTAGAAGTATTAATTTACAAATTTAAATTTTGCCTACCCAGCCCTATAAATCATAACCTTGGACAATTAAGCCTTCCATTTAATCATTAGTAAATCTTAAGTTATTACAATGTGTTTGCAACAGTATTAAACAATAATTGAAGTCTTTAACTATTCATTTTCCAAATAGTTATTATTAATAATTCTGTTTTTATGGAAAGTTGATTTTCTTAGCCCCTTTAAAAAAATAAGTGGAATGATTTAAGAGTGATACAACTTAAGTAATTAAAATTATCTTGATTTTTTTTAACTTGGCCCATGCAACCACAGACAAGTTTTGGTGTGTCTGTGTAGCTTAACACAAAATCCAGATTTGACTTTACTCATTATATTACATGACAGTTGGTTTGATGTTATTTAAAACTGTCTGAGATACTAAGTGTTTAGTGGGGTTTTGATTAGTAACTGGCAAACTTCAAAAGGCCTGAATATTTGGTTTGGAAAAAACTTGATTAGTTTGGATGGCTATTCAGATTTTCACCAAAATCTCTGAAGGCCTTTTTCCAGGCCTTCCCAGTCTGAATATTTTATTCCTCATCCATTTCTCAAGAAACTGAGTTTCATGTTTCTAGGACTGTAGTTTCCAGCTAAATATTCTGGAAGCCCCTCTTTATGAAGACTGATAGGTCATATAACCATTTTTTTTAGAAACTTCATATCCATTATCATTGCTTACATGGATAACTTTTTCTATCATCAGAATCATGAGCTTTTAGAACTATATGGAATGCTTCAAGATTGTCTAGCCAATTCTAGTTACACGTTAGGAAAATGAATTGTTTAAACTCAGATAGTTATGTAAGCTAAGTTTTTAAGTGGAGATACAAGTAGTTTCAATAAGACTGGAGTGAGGGATAAATAAGATAATATACGAAAAATATTCCACCATTTTAGCTGCCGCCCCCCGCCGCACACACACATCCCTTTGTCTTTCTTTCTTCTTTTCATATAGAATGAGGTAGTGGTAAGTGGATGAACATAGCTTGGATTCTGCCTCATGGGTTCACTTTTGACCACAACTCATAAAACCATCTTCCTTCTTTCTTTCCTAATCTAAAACCATTTCCTTTTTTTCCTTTCCTGATGTTTCATTTTCTCTTGGCCTGTTCTATCTTTGCTATTCCAGTAATGTGAATTTCCCTCCACTACCCATACATTGTTATCTGGGATGAAGAGGCAGAATTAATTAATTAATTAATATGATATGCCACATTCCATAATAATCAGTCACAAAGAGATGAGCTTCATGGATGCAAATATATGCCTACTTTCATGTTCAAAGATGTGGCATATAGGAATTATGTATATTATGAGGATCATTGATAAGCAAATATTTTCCTTTGATTAGTTACTGGTTGTAGAGTGCTTTCTATATATCCAGCCACTGTATTAATCCCTTTGTACTATTTCCTTTAATCTTCATATATGTCTGATAAAATGCATATTTCCTCTACCTGGAACATTCTGCCTCCTCATCTTCAATAGGAGGCATTTCTTCTTATTTATGTTTCATCTCAAAAATTTCCTCCTCAGGGAGGCTGTTTATAACATCTCATCTTGAAGAATCTCCTAGATTGTCTTTAACACATCATTCACTTTCATTTCTTACCACCTAACTTATCAATATATAGAATTTTCTTTTTTAATTTGCTGACATGTTATTATTTTCCTCCCCTGACAACTGTAATTAAAACCACATATTGGTTTTGTTCATTGCTGAATTGGCAGTCTAACCCGTCTTCTCCATTTTAATACCCAAGACCTTCAATTGCTCTCAGACTACTTTTAGACTTACCTAAAAAAGAAAAAGGAAAGCCATCTCACTCTTGTTTGTGTTAATTCAGAGTCACAGACATTCAAATGTTTTAGACAAAATTATTATTATCTCTAAGATGGCCATGCACGTTTTCCAGATTCTTAGATTTTTTATAGATGTAGCAGTTTAAAAATTATTCATGGGTAGTAAATAGGGGACATTGATTTCTTCCCTTAGTTTTTAGAAATCATCAATGAGATCCTTTGGGCACATTTTCATCTTGATGGCAGTGGTGGCCTGTCTGGATCAGCTGCTGTGAGGACACCAGCTGCAGTTGGGGAGGCGTGGCAGGGCTTCATGCTCTGCGGAGCTATTGGGGGCCAGGAACAGGTGATCCCAGTGGAAGCCTTGCACCCTACTAAGTTGACTTGATAGGCTGGGAGTTTGCCCTCCTGGGCGCAGCTGCAGCTGGCCAGCCATGGCTCCAGACCTGGGCATCCCTGTGCTCTTGGGGCCCCAGGAAGCCCCCTGCCCCTGCAGGCTTGAGAGTGTCTATTCTTGTTTCCTGGCCTCTCCTTGATCCCAGCACCTGCTCTGGTGCGAGCAAAGTTGTAGCTGAGCCCAGGTGCAGTTGCAACCTAGCCAGGAGTGCATGCACTTGGGGTGGCACTGACATGCTGGCCCCCTGCTGCCTCAGCCCCTTCCAGACTTTAGGCACCAATGAGCATGGGAGGGAGGCTTGGCGTGGACCCACAGGTGCCCCTTGGCAGGGACAGCACCGGTGTTATAGATGGCATGTTGATGGCAGCAGGAGGCAGGCAGATGCTTAGATGGGAAGAGGGGGGTCCCCAGCGAAGCCTCACCTTCAAAACAGGCATGGCCTAAAGCCTGGGGGCTGGGCTGGGTTGCCATTTCCAGATGGAGTTTGCAACCTGGAGTGAGTACTTCCTTGATGTTTTTCAACCAGTTGGAGAGTGCTTTTTCCAGGCCCACTGATGGCCACCCATAGATCGATCAGCACACACTTCCTTCTGAGCCCATAAAAACCCCAGACTCAGCCAGACTCAGAAACTTGTCAGGATGACCTGCTTGTGAATAGGAACTGCCGTCTCTGCTGAGAGCTGTTCTGTTGCTCAAAAAAGCTCCTTTCCACCTTGCTTACCTTCCAGTTGTTCACATAACCTCATTCTTCCTGGACACAAGAGAAGAACTCAGGACCTACTGAACAACAGGAGTTAAAAGAATTATAACAGGTTCTTGGCTGGCTTGCCAAACTGTGGGCAGTGACATGCTCCCAGATTGCAGGAGTGAAGAGTACTGACCCTTCTGGGGACCTAGACCTAGAGATTCCTGGAGCCAGAGCTGCTGTAACACTATAGCCTTCCTACCATCCACTGGTGCCAGGTGGCTGCATCCTATGACAGGAAGTAGTGGCAGGGATGGGCCAGCCCAGGAGCCACAGGCCAGAGCAAGGTGGCGGGACTGAAGGAGCTGTAACACAAACTGGCTGAAACATGCCCCTATGAAACATACCTCCCTGCCCCAGCTCACCATGCTGCAGGAGACAAGAAGGAGAGAAAAGCTGCTGCCTTTCTGGGAGCCCAGACCTCTGGGGTCCCCAAGCCAGACCTGGGGCCCCACAGACGTGGGGTCCCCAAGCCAGGGTTGTGATACACTATAATACCCTCTTTGGGTTCTGTTCTTCTTGGCGTCTCTAAGCTTTTGGACACCATCACATTTCTCTTGTCCAGACGCTGGTGCCTGTAGTGGAAGCTGCTTGTAGTATGTCTGGTCCAGCTGCAGGCTCCCACAGAGCCAGTACCTGTGCTGGCATTGGGAGCTGTCTGCCCCACTGCAGCAGCCGGCATGCCTGACTGTGTGCAGTGGCCAGACCCCACACTCACTCACTCATACACCCTTCTCCACTCCACACCTGGCTCACCCTTGGCAAGTGTGGGATCTGGGCCAGTAGCATGAGCTGAGCACAGCTTACTGGGCTGAATGGATGGAACAAGGTGCTGCTGGTCACAGAGGTTTCTGGACAGCAAAGCAACACCTGAAGGATCCTATGACAATACTGTGATCTAAGAATATGACCAGTATTCAAAATTCTTTATTTCTTGTTTATTTGTTCAGTATTATATACATATATATAACTATATTACTTCTATACTTAATTTGTTGAGAGTTTTTATCACAAGTACATGTTGCATTTTATTAAATGCTTTTTCTATGTCTATTGAGATAACCATAAAGTTTTTGTCCTTTATTTTGTTGCTGTGATATGTAACATTTAATGATTTGCATCTTTGCATCCCTGGGATGAATTGCACTTGATCATGGTGAACTTGATCATGGTCTTTTAAATATGTAATTGGATTTGGTGTGCTAGTATTTTGTTGAGAATTTTTACATCTATATTAGCCAGGGATATTGGCCTGTAGTATTTTGTTGTTGTTGTGAGCTTGTCTGTTTTTGGTATCAGGGTAATGCTGGCATTGTAGAATGAGTTTGGGAGAATTCCATCCATTTTAATTTTTTGAAGAGTTTAAGAAGAATTGATATTAGCTCTTCTTTAAATGTCTGGTAGAATTCAACAGTAAAGCCATCAGGTCCTGGACTTTTCTTTGGTGAGAAAGTTTTTATTTCTGATTCGATCTTGTCACTCATTATCAGTCTTTTCAGGTGGTTTATTTCTCGTGATCCAATCATGATTGTGTGTACACAGAAATTTCTTTATTTCTTCTAGGGTTTCCAACTTATTAATGTATAGTTGTTCACAATAGCTTTTAATGATCCTTTGTATTTCTGTGGTATTAACTGCAGTACCTCCTTTTTCATTTCTGATTTCATTTATTTGAGTATTCTCTTTTTTTCTCAGTCTAGCTAAGTTTGTCAGTTTTGTTTATCTTCTCAAGAAAGTAACTGTTTTGTTGTTTTTTTGTAATTTGTTTAAACTTTACTTATTTTTTTAAATTTTTATTATTTCTTTTCTTCTATTAATTTGGGTTAAGTTGTTCTTGTCTTTCTACTTCTTTGAAGCACAATGTTAGATGATTTGAACTCTTCTAATTTTTTGATGTAGGCATTTACTGCTATAAGTTTCCCTGTTAGTACTGCTTTTTGCTGTACCCCATAAGTTTTGGTATGTTGTTTATCCATTTTCATTTGTCTGAACAAATTTTTAAATTTTTTAAATTAATTCCTTTATTTACCCATTGGTTTCAAGAGCATGTTGGTTAATTTCCATGTATTTGTAGAGTTTGAATTTTTTTGTTATTAATTTCTAGTTTTCATCCATTGTGGTCAGAAGGTACTTGATATTTTTTCAATTTTTTAAAAAATTTAAAACTTGTTTTTGCTCTAACATATAGTTTATCCTAGAGAATGTTCCAAGTGGTATCAAGAAAAATGTGTATTCTGCAAATGTTGGATAGTCTATTCTGAAAATGTCTGTTGAGTCTATTTGGTGTAGGTTGCAGTTTAACTTCATTTCTTTTTTGTTATTGTTTCTGTCTGGATAACCTGTCCATTGCTGAAAATGGGATGTTGAGGTCTCCTACTATTATTATACTACAGTCAGTCTCCCCCTTTAGTTCTAACTATATTTGCTTTATATAGTTAGGTGCTCCAATGTTGGGTGCATATATATTTACAATTGTTGTCTCTTCTCACTGTATTGATCACTTTATCATTATATAATGGAATTCTTTGTCTCTTTTTGCAGTTTTTGACTTAACATCTGTTATCTGATATAAATATGGCTATTCCTGCTCTTTTTTGGTTTTCATTTGCATGGAATATCTTTTTCTATCCCTTCACTTTCATTCTATGTGTGTCCTTACAGGTGAAATACATGTCTTGTAAGCAGCATATAGTTGAGTTTTGTTCCATCAGCCACTTTATGTATTTTAATTGGAGAATTTAATACATTTACATGAATTTAACCCATTTACATTTATGTTTACAGTTACATTTAATCCACTCAAGATAATTATTGATAGGTAAGAACTTACTCGCGATTTTGTTACTTGTTTTCTAGAGTTTTTTTTTCCTTTTTTTCTTCTCTTACTGCCTTCCTTTGTAGTTAAGTCATTTTCTCTAGTAGTATGCTTTGATTTCTTGTTTGTTATTTTTAATATATCTATTATAGGTTTTTGCTTTGTGATTATCATGGGGATTACAAAAGTGTCTTTTAGTAATAACAAGTTATTTTGATTTTAACTCCATTTCTCCCCATTTTGAATTTTTGGTTTCACATTTTAGATCTTGTATATGGCCTGTTAACAAATTAATGTTGTTATTATTATTATTATTTTTTTTTTTGAGACAGAGTCTCGCTCTGTCACCCAGGCTGGAGTGCAGTGGCGGGATCTCGGCTCACTGCAAGCTCCGCCTCCCGGGTTCACGCCATTCTCCTGCCTCAGCCTCCCGAGTAGCTGGGACTACAGGCGCCCGCCACTACGCCCGGCTAATTTTTTGTATTTTTAGTAGAGACGGGGTTTCACCGTGGTCTCGATCTCCTGACCTCGTGATCCGCCCGCCTCGTTGTTATTATTTTTAATAGTTGTTTATTTTAGCCTTCATACCAAAGATGTAAGTGGTTTACACAACACGTATAGTATTAGAGTAAGTATTAAAGTAAGTATAGTTTGTACACCTACTTTTACAAGTGAGTGTTATATCTTCAGAAATTTTCATGTTACACATTAGCATCATTTTTTTTCAGTTTGAAGAAATTCCTTTCACATATCTTGTAGGACAGGTTTCGTAGCAATGAATTCCTTCAGCTTTTGTTTTTCAGGGAAAGTTTTTATCTCTCCTCTGTTTCTGAAGGATAGCTTTGCTGGGTACAGTATATTTGATTGGCAATATTTTTTTCTTCAGCATTCTGGATATATTGTTTCACTTTCTCCTGGACTGCCAGATTTCTTCTGAGAAGTCTGCTGCCATGCATATTTGAACTGTCTTATATGTTATTTCCTTCTTTTCTCTTGCTGCTTTGATGATCCACTCTTTGTCTTTGAACTTTGAGAGTTTGATTATGATATATCCTTAAGTAGTCTTATTTGAATTGAATCTGATTGGTGACCTTTGACCTTCCTGTACTTGGATATTTATATCTTTCTGGATATTTATATCTTTCTGCATATTTAGAAAGTTTTTTGTTATTATTTATTTGAATGTTTTCTATCCTTTTGTTTTTCTTAATCCCCCCTTGGACTTCAGTAACTCAAGTATTTGCTCTTTTGATACTATCCCACAGATGCTGTAGGCTTTCTTCTTTCCTTTTTATTCTTTTTTTATTTTTCTCTCTTTGTGTATTTCCAAATAGCCTGTTTTTGTGCTCACTGATTCTTTCTTCTGTTTGATCAATTCTGCTGTTGATGTTCTGTATTGCATTTTTCATTTCATTCACCATATTTTTCAGCTCCAGAATTTCTCTTTGATTTTTTAAAAATTATCTCAATCTTTCTGTTAAATTTCTCTGTTCAGTTTCTGAATTGTTTCCATGCATTTTATTGAATTTCGTTAAGCTTCCTTAAAACAACTGTTTGAATTCTTTTTTTGAGAGATCACACATCACTTTAGGGTCAGTCTCTGGCAGCTTATTTTGTCTGTTTGGTGAGGTCATATTTACCTGAATGTTTCTGATGCTTGTGAATGTGTAACATTGTCTGCCCATTGAGGGGTTATTTATTCCAGTCTTCACAGTATGGCTTTTTTGTGCCCTTCCTTCTTCAGTGTGCCTTTCAGGGATTCTAAGCAGATTGATTGTTGCATTCCCTGAGTTCATGACCACTGTAGCTATCTAAACACTAAAGGGTGGTCTAGAGGTCTAAGCCCAGGTTTGCTGTGAGATCCACAAGGGCTCTTAGGTTGGTATGGTTCTCTGACCCAAATGAACCTGGGGAAGACCCAAGGGGAGTATCCTAGCTATGTGGGAAAGCTGATCAGGGACCTGAACCTGGTAGCCTATTCCAGCTGCCTAGAGAGGTGCACCTTCTAGATGTATCCTTCAGAAATGCAGTAGTTTTCTGACTGCAGCAAAAAATACTGGAGCCCAGAGTGTGCCCCCTCAGGATCTGCTATGAGATGGGGGCTGGCAAGCCTGTCTCATTGGCTCTGCCAGGCACACATCTCCCTGCAGGTCCCTCCACAGGCAGGATAGTTGTCTGACTACAGTGGGAGGGGCCAGGGCTAAGACTAGACCTCTTCAGGATATGCTGTGGGATGGAGGCTGGTGATCCCATCATGGATGGTCATATTCCTGAGCTGTGAGATATAAGTGAACATCTCTCTGGGTCCTTGCAAGAGCAGCTCTAAGCTGGGACCTCAGCTTGGGGTGTTGGCACCAAGCCACAGGTAAACTTTCAGGCTCACTGCTGAGACCAATGTTAGCTGGCAGGCAAGACTTTCTGCTGAGGCACTAGTGAGTATTATTTCTCCTGGACCTCTTGACGTATCATTTTGGTTGCAGGATCAAGACCAGGTGGGGCTGTAATCAAGCTGTTTGGGGAATGGGGCTGTTTCTGGGATTGAAACCAAAAACACAGCTGGTGAGTCTGGTACCTGGATGCTGGCCTGTACTCTCAAAACTGCATTCCTAGGTCTGAGTCTCCATTGTGGTTTCAAAATTTCCTACTTGAATTCTGAGGCTTCTTCAGAGACACTTTTGTCTGTAGATGCATGCAGAATTTGTGGTGTTGTGGGGGGATAGGAGTAAGATAGGATAGGGATAATTTCTTCATCTTTCTGACATATCTCAGGTCATTTTTTTAATACAACTTTTCATTACTATAGGTAGACTCTGTTGAAAAATATGCAGGTGAAGGGCCACATACAGGAAATAAAGGGTCAGGAAATTAAAGAAGCTTCTACATTAGTTATGAAGACACTCATGATTCTGGATGTGTAGAGCATTCAGAAAGATTTAGGGTACATTCACCTCTAATTGATGTGATCTTATTCAAAATATTATTTTAAAAAATCCATACATTTTTTAAAATAAAACTTTATTTTAGATTCAATGGGTATATGTGTATGTTTGTTACATGAGTATATTGTAGGGATTGGGCTTCTAGTGTACTCATTACCCAAATAGTAAACATTGTACCTGATGGATAGTTTTTCAACTCTAACCCCATCTTTTACCCTCCCTGCTTTTGGACTAAACAGTGTCTTTTATTTACAACTTTACATCCATGTGTACCCATTGTTTAGCTCCCAGTTATAAGTAAGAACATACAGTATTTGATTTTCTATTTCTGAGTTAGTTCACTTAGGATAATGGCCTCTGGATGCTTCCATGTTGCTGCAAAGGATATTATTTATTCTTTTTTATAGTTTTTTAAATGTGGTACATACGCAGCAGGGAATATACCACAGCATTCAATGCTATAAATGTACCACATTTTCTTTATCCAGTCAATCACTGATGGACACTTAAGTTGGTTCCATGACTTTGCCATATGAATATTGCTGTGATGAACATATAAGTGCAGGTGTCTTTTTTAAAATAATGATTTCTTTTCCTTTAGGTATATACTCAGTAGTGAGATTGCATCATATTGTTTTCCACAGAGGTTGAACTAATTTACATTCCCACCAATTGTATGAGTGTTTCCTTTTCTCCACATCCCTGCCAACATCTATTGTTTTTGACTTGTTAATAGTAGCCATTCTGACTGATGTAAGATGATGTCTTATTGTGGTTTAATTTTAATTTCGATTTCTCTGATAATTAGTGATGTTTTAACTTTGTTGGATGAGACTAATGAAATTTTGGTGAAATCTTCTTAAAGTAAAAGTTTTATGATGGAGTATATTAAAAATTTCTGGTCTTACATTGTTTCCTGAAATAATTTTTAAAATGTTAACATAATTTTACTATGGAGATATTTTACTAAACCCCAACCTTTGATTTTCTAAAACATATTTAAGAGGGCAATATTACTACTTACTTCATACAATTATATTTCAACATGGTGAGGTTTGCCTCTCAGTGAAGTCAAGAGTAATTATTTTTTTGATTACTTTTCATGACAATGTTATTTGATTATATTTTATTTGTTTTGTAAACTAGTAGCTTTTCTTAGCAATAAGATGGTTTTAATATATTGAAGTACAAGATGATATATGTTTGCCACCATAAACATACAAAAATGCAAAGCCAGCCATCTGGGGTTTATTTTAATAACAGTGTGCTCATAGGGGTTATAGAACACTTAATGCCAAACAAAGTAACTTTTTCATTTGTTTTCTTGGATCATCTATATTTAAATAGTAGCCAAAACAACTTTGTTTGCAGATGTCTTAAAAAAAATGCTGTGGCTCATAATGAGGTCAGTTCTTTGAAAGTGCTTCAGTAATAATGCAGTTAATAGGTTATTTGATGTGCATTTCTTTAAGCTTCCCATCTTGACAAAGCTACCCTCTTTAAGCTGAAGGGCATATCTCTGTACCTATGATTGTATGAAAATCATACCCTTGGCCAGGAGCGAAGGCTCACGCCTGTAATCCCAACACTTTGAGAGGCCTAGGCGGGCGGATCACGAGGTCAGGAGATTGAGACCAGCCTGGCCAACATGGTAAAACCCCGTCTGTACTAAAAATACAAAAATTAGCTGGGCATGGCAGTGCGTGCCTGTAATCCCAGCTACTCGGGAGGCTGAGGCAGGAGAATTGCTTGAACCCAGGAGTCGGAGGTTGCAGTGGGCCGAGATCGCGCCACTGCACTCCAGCCTGGAGACAGAGCTAGATGCCGTCAAGGAAAAAAAAAATGGAAAAGAAAGGAAGGAAGGAAGGAGGGAGGGAGGGAGGGAGGAAGGGAAGGAAGGAAGAAAGAGAAAGAAAGAACGAAAGAAAGAAAGAAACAAAGAAAGAAAGAAAGAGAAAAGAAAATCGTATTCTTTGCACTTACGTCCATACATTCAGTGTTAAATATATACATATTATGTCATTCCTCTATGATGTCAGTTACTTAGATATTATCTGTGGGTGTCTTTGGAAGTTCTCTTAAATCTTAAAGGTGCTTGGGGAAGACCCAGCAAATGAAGTCAATTTTAACCCAAATTTTAAGCACTATAAGGATTTGGTTCATTATACTGATATAAGAGGGAAATCTGTGTGCAAAGATTATTTGCAATTTTCACTGAAATTGAAAAAGGCTTTTCAGTGTTACCTGAGCATTTCTTAGAATTATTATGACATACCTAAATGATGTAGAAAAATATTGATATTAACTTATGATTTTCCACTTTTATTTTGACTTGAGTTTATACACAATATATGGGAAAAGTGAATAATTCAGCTGAAAATCAAGATGGTTGAGATAAAATATTTGGTATTTAGGAAAATGTTGCATACAACAGTGATTCATAAAAGACAGCAGAGAGATAAGAATAACTTATGGAAAATTTCAATGTAAATCTTCTCTATACATTATGAACTTACAGAAACCTGTAAACGAGAGCATCAACCTTCGACAGAAGCAGATGTGGCTTAATATTTCAACCTTGTCACTCACTTCCTACCAATATAACCTTGGACCATAAATTAAGCCAGGGATCATAAACTTAAATACCTATGTGATTTGTTAAAAGTGAAATGAGTGAAGTTGGCAGGTCAAGGATTTGGTGATCTGAAGTATTTTTTTCATGCTCAATGTTAAATCTTTCAAGAGTAGATAGATATATGCATTTCTGTCTTCAATGCCCTAGTTTTTAAATATTGGCAAGTAATTAAAATATTTAAAACAATACCTCTTTGGCTGGGTTCAGCCTGTGGGCACTGGAGTGTGGTATCTACTTTAAACTTTTATTTCTTCATATAGAAGAGGATTTTTGTGAAGATTCAATGACATAAAGCCAAAATTGCTGACATGTTGCAAATCTTTAATAAAGGTATTGACACTTTCTACATAATTTTTAACTTCTCTTCCCCTAGTGAGTAGAAATAGTCAATAAAAGCCACAAAGCTTTTAGCTTTTTTACTTTTTACAAAATATAGATTTAACTTCTGTATTTATGACATTGCCTTTAGCTATTTAAAACTTCCAAATAGAAAGCAGAACTTCTTTATTAACTTTGAAAAATGATTTTACAAGGTGTTTATGTAGTTGATATAATTACTTAAGTTACTTTAAAGATCTACTGACTACCCCTTGGCTGATATATCCAATCCTTGGGAGTCATCAAAACACCAAAATAGCTTTTCATTACTCTTACACATTACAGCATAGCAGTCTGTAGAACCTTGTCATTAGACTAAAGGAAGAGTTTCTAACATGCTTAATATACATTTTTTTCATCTGCGAACCTATATGGAATAATAGAAATATGCGGCTTTGTGTCATATGGATGTGGGTTTAAATCTTTCTTTTGTCATAGACTTAGTTGTGTGCCTTTGGTCAAATACTTATTTTCTTTGTTTTCTTATTTATAAAAATGAGAGCTCTACTACTTCTCTGGGAAGGTAGTACTGAGGGTTAAGTGAGATAAACTATGTAGAAGTGCCCAATAGATGTCAATTTTTCTTTTTCTCTATCATTTTTACCTTTAATAGAATAAAAACCTTCATTTATTAAGCAATAATTGATTAGTTTCTTAGGTAATCTAATCATGTATATGTAAATATGACATCATACTAGGTCATGGCTTATTATTTGGGCAACAGTTTGAAGGGAGATGAATCTTTATTCTGGACAATTCCTCAATGCATATAGATTTTTGAGTTACCTATAATATTTTGAGATTATCTTACCCATTGAGCAGCAAAATTTTGTTTTGTTTTTAAAGTAGACATTAAATATGTGTTGGATAAATGAACAAAATATATTGTCCTTCACTTTTTTCACTCTCCTATGAGTAACCATCACCTGATATGAAACAGAAAACTGTTACCTAGAACCCCTAAATGATTACAGATATTACATATACAGCAGGAAATGACTCTTGGATGCTACTGCAGTTCTAGTCACATGAATAGATATGGAAGGAGTCACAACTAGATGACCAGCTGCCTTTTTTAAACGTAGAAGATTGACATGAACATCATATTGTGTTAACCATGTAGTGAATTCTACTACAGACACAATATTTAATATCCAGATCCATATAAATGACAACACCAAGCAATTATTAAACAAAATTGAAAAATGTTAAAGAAATGCATGAGAGAGAGAGAGAGAGAGACACTAAAACATTAATAACAGGGTGTGAAATTCAGGTGACTTTTACTTTTTAAATAATTTTATTTTTTTTGAGATTTTTCTCGGGAAAATATTCTTTATATAATTAGATAAAATCAGCTACTTTTATTAAAAATATAAATATCAGTCAGAATAATTTCAGAAAAATGGATCATAATAAAAAATTGCTTAAGCTATAGCAAGAAAAATTGAATTAGAAATTAGGAAATTGCCATACTATTGGGTTGGTGCAAAAGTAGTTGCAGTTTTTGCCATTGCTTTCAAAATCGCAACTACTTTTGCACCAACCACAGTGAATATAATAGGATATTTATATCTGTATTCAACTGATCTTAATTCCAAAAAGATGCATCTGAAAGTAAAATTTAAAAAATTATTAAACTGCTTTTTTTTTTTTTTTTAAAAAAAGGACACGCTTGATTCAGAGGAACAACTCGACAATGGGATGAGGCTGTCATAGTAAATCACTCAATTTGATAAGTATTAACTATGACTTACCTTCACAGATCAAATAAATGACCATCTTTTCAAGTGGTTTTCTGTCTTAGGAAATTTTCTCATGCATATTCTTCATAAGAAAATTTTAGATCCAGTAACATCCTTTGTTACTTTATTCTCTTTGGTTTCTTTCCTGCATTTAACTTTATTAATCATTCACTTCTTAGCACTCCTGTCTCTGAACTTCCATCACATAATAAATTCTTTTTAATTTAATCTGTTTTAGTCAAGCTGACTTCTTGAATGTCCTGCAAATGCACTCAAGTTCATTTTCCTGTCAGGTCAGAGTTTTATTGTTTTCGACAATGGGCTGTCCTAAGATTTACAAAACAGGAACAGAACTAAAAACCAAGAGTGTCAACTTTTAAATTAATTATAATAAGTGAACAAAAATATTTTAGGCCAGAAGATGAGTCAACATTTATAAATGTTTGACTGGGTTGGTACTTAGCAAGTTATTTATAGACATTTAATATTTGTTAAATACATGTAAAGTTATGTGAAAACCATGCCATAAAAGAGAAATATATTACCTTTTCATGTATTGCTTTTGAGTAAGTACAACATAATATTTCCATCAAGAGGACCTTAGTTTGGTGCCCCATACACAGGAAAAAATAAGAGATAATGCAGAATGTTTATCTGGTTTACCTGACATTAGTGTTTTTGTGGCTTTACCTATGATAATATTAGATTTGGCTATTATAATACTAGACTCAAGCTTGTCAGTATGAAAACCATCTACACTGTCTTTCTTGGAAACAGAAGTAACTGTGGCATTTTAAGAGTTGGATTTGGATTGAATCAGCAACAACAGTAAAATTATAATCATTTCTAATTTAGTATTCCTCACAAATATACTTTTTAATTCAAATTCTTTGATTTCTGCACTTTGTTTTGGTCATTCCTTAGTTAATTTAATCATTATGCATCTCTTTTTGTTGCTTTTTTCAGGAGGAGACTTTTATTAAGTATCTAGTTTTAATTTTCAGTGAACACAGCACTCAACGGAAAGGTTGGATTAATGTGTCTTCTGTTTTCCCTTTTCCACCTCCTGAAGTTTACTATTTTAGAAGCTTTCGCAGGTAGAGACTCTTAACGATGAATCATCTTGTTTATAAGCAAAGTTTAACAAATGTTGACTTGTAATAAAGCCCATTATTTGTATTAATAATAAAAAGTAGAGTGTGTATACCTGCATCATGGATGCACACTGAATTGAGAATGAGATTCTTACAACTATGTTTATTAATGTGTCAAGTAATAAAAATCCCAGAATAAAAATATTAGTAGCTGGGACTACAGCCATGAGAAACTATGCCTGGCTAATTTTTGTATTTTTAGTAGAGATGAAGTTTCGCCATTTTGGCCAGGTTGGTCTCAAATTCCTGGCCTCAAGTGATCTGCCCTCCTCAGCCTCCCAAAGTGCTGAGATTTCAGGAGTGAGCCACTGCACCTGGCAGTGTTTGAAGATTTTCATTATAATTTACTTCCTAGTTGCCAAATGGCCCCATGCTTCATAGATTTTAGAATCTAGTACATGAGTGGTTTAATATTGGGCAGCTTTCGTTTTTCTTTGGAAGAAGTCAGATTCTAAAAGTAATCTATGTGTAAAAAATCATGGATTATTTGAAATATTATGAAAGTGTTACAAAGGTTTATTTTCCAAGAGGAAATGAGCAATTTTTAACCTTGTATGCTAAGTTGACTAGGCAATCTTTAAGACAAACTTTCATCTCCATAAAGATGAATCATATTAGAAAGTTTACCATTTTATGAATTGGGTTTCATTATAAAAATCCCCATCAATATTACTTTGCTTCTCAAAAATTTGGTGACTGTTTTAAGGAAAATTTATATTTGAGAATAAAATAAATAATTTGCACCAAATTCCACTGTACATTGCTATAGTTAACCTATAAATATCTTGTGTTGTTTCATTATTTCTTCTGTCTAATTTGGGTTTAATTTGGTCTTCTATTTTAGCTTCTTCAGGTGGAAGGTTAGAACACTGATTTGAGACCTTTATTCTTTTCTAATTAAGTATTTAATGCTAGACAATTTCCTCTAAGCCTTGATTTAGCTACATTTCACCAATTTTGATATATTGTTTTCTTTTTTACTCAAGGAAAAATATAATTCTTTTTATGATTTTTTTATTGATCCATGGTTACTAGAAACATGATTTAAATTAGAAACACTTGTGTAATTTATAATATCTTTTTGCTATTGATTCTAGTTTAATTCCACTGTGATAATAAAACATCATTTGCATGACCTAAATGACTTCAAATTGTTGAAGTTTGTTTTGCTTTATGTCCATTTGTGGATGTTTCATGCCCATTTGAAAATATTGTATGTTCTGTTTTTAGATGGAGTGTTGTATAAATGTCAAGTAGGTCGAGTTGATTGATTATGTTGTTTCAGTTTTTTATATCTTATTGATATCTCTCTTTAACAATGATTCAAAGACAAGTGTTGATGTTCAACTATAAATTTGTCTTTTTCTTTTAAAAATTTTACCAATTTTTAATTTTATATTTTAGAGCTCAGTTGTTGGATGTATATTAAAATTAATATGTATTCTTGATGAACTGAGCTCTATATTACTATGTATTCTCTTTCTTTTCTCCGACAATATTTTTCATTCTGGTTTACTTTTAGAGTATAATCATTCCAACATTTTTTTGATTAGTGCTACATGATATATCTTTACCTTCTTTTTACTTCTCACTTATTTATCTCTATATTCAAAGAGATTTATTGTAGATAATATATAGTTGGCTATTTTTCTTCTAACCTGACAATCTTGCCTTTTAATCGAAAGATTTAGACCATTTGCATTTAATGTAATTATTAGTTTAATAATATAATTGTTATATATCTACAATTTTGCTATTTGTTCTCTGTTGTCCCATCAGTTTGTTTCTCTTGTCCTTCTTTAACTGCTCATTTTTTGACTACTCAATTATGTGTATTTCATTTTACTTCCTCCATTACCTTATTCGTTCTACATCTTTTTTTAATGGTTGGTCTAGAATTTGCCATGTACATCTTAATTGATCATAAACTTCAAATATATTTATTCCACTTCCTCCATTTCATTATTTATGCTATCGTTGTCATGCATTTTACTCGTACATATATATGAGCCTTACAATACATTTTCACTATTTTTGATTTTCACAGCAGTTTATCTTTTTAAAGTAATTAATAATAACAAGAAAAATCTTTTGTACTTACCCCCTTTTTTAACCATTTCTGGCACTCTTCATTTTCCTATGTAAATTTAAATTTCTATCTTGTACTATGCTCCTACCGACTGAACACATTCCTTTAACATTTCTTATAGTGCAGATCTGCTGGCAATAAATTCTCTGTTTTTGTTTGCAAAAAAAATATGTATTTTACTTTAACTTTTAAAAGTTTTTTTTTTTTAAACTGGGCATAGACTTCTGAAGAGACTTTTTTACCCTATTAGTACTTTGAAATTGACATCTTTTGATGTGTATAGATATTGATGAGAAGTGGGCTATAATTGTTTCTCTATGTAATACTGGTTGTCTTCAAATATTTCTTATATACGGTTTTCTCTTTATTCTTCTTCTGGGACTCAAATTCCATGTATATTAGTGCATTTGATACTGTCTTTCACCTCTTGGTTGTTCTATCTGCTTTCTTTTGCTCTTTCTGTATTGGGTTGGATAATTTATACTAATCTATCTTCAAGTTTACTGATTTTTTCCCTCAGTTTGGTTAGGTGTGTTGATAAGAATACCAAAGGAATTCTTCACCTCTGACGTAGTGCTGTTTTTATTTCTAGCATTTTTATTTGACACTTGTTTTATAGATTTGACATGCCTACTGAAATTTTCTGCCTGTTCTTGCCCACTTTTTCTACAAGACCTGGTAACATGCTAGTTAGAGTTATTGTAAAGTTGTTGTGTGATTGAGCTAACATATGGATCACCTCTGAGTCTGATATTGATTGGTTTATCTTTTGACAATGAGGTTTTTCTTTGCTTTTTTGTGTGTCTCGTAATTTTTGACTGAATGCCAGATATTGTGTATAGAACAACACTAGAGTCTGAGGGAAAATCTATTTACTTTCAGAAATCAGCACATCTCGTTTGTCAGTTTATTAGTATGGACAATTGTGTCAATCTTGTCAGTATTTGAGATGGGTTTGGTTGTTGCTATTTTAACCTGTATTACATCACTCCCTTTAAATTCCTATAGTGGTGGGATGTTATCCTGCGCTGGGGGTGAGGCCTGGAGTGTTGGAGGGTTTTCTCATTGCTTCTGCTCCACCTCCAGCTTTCAGCAGTTCCTCTACACCTGCACCATGGAGCGGATCTCTCTTCATGTTCTTACCCCTCCCCACACATAGTCCTCTCCTCTGTGTCACTCATGTTAGAGAAAGAGGATCCTTTATTATCTTGGTGTAGTTTCATTTTCAAGTGTGTTCTCTGCTCCTGGGACATGGTTGTGGAGTTTTCATAGACCTGGCCTTTTTTCTCATGTCAGCTAAACCCTACCTTGTATCTTTGGAGGATACTGGATAGGAGAGTGCTTTCTGCATTTACCCTACTGGTAATAGACCTCTGCTTTCTATCTGTGTAAGATCTTGAATCCAAGAGGTTACCTGCCCCTCTTTCAGGAGCAGGAAGATTTTGTTTCTTCCCTTTATACTCATCCACCAGAAACAGTGACTATATGCTTATGTTCTGAAAACAGGAGGGATTCTTATTTATTCTCCAGAGGCAGCTGGGTTATGCTTCTACTCCTCTGCCAGAATCATAGGAGTTTTGCCTGGACTCTAGGGGCAGTATCACTTCCTGCCTCTACTCCAGCAACTTAATGCCTTTTCTTTTTATAATTGAAGG
This sequence comes from Homo sapiens, assembly GCF_000001405.40. Classification (NCBI taxonomy): domain Eukaryota; kingdom Metazoa; phylum Chordata; class Mammalia; order Primates; family Hominidae; genus Homo; species Homo sapiens. Next base: position 122,232,347 of record NC_000006.12, on the reverse strand, counting down.
GTCTGAGAAAGTACATGGAAGTTTTGTACCTGTTCCTCAGGGGTAGTTGATCACCGCTTGCATACCTGTGTAACTAAGGGAGCTCTCCCCAGTCTCCTGTGTAGACCTTAAATTTTTATGAAATTGGCTCATGGAAAAAAGCTTGTGAGTGAGTGCAAACTTCTCTTATTTCTAGGACTTTCAGCTTTTCTGAACTGATATGCTAGTCAATATCAGCCTTTAAAATTTTGTCAAAATTTAATGTGATTTACTTTTACCTACTTCTGTGTTGATCACCTCTTCCTCCCATGCCTTGGCAAAGGTATGTGTTCTGTTTCTCCTCAGAGGGCTTGTCATTTTTTGGAATTCAGTTCATTTGTTTGCCTTACAAACTCAGCTTTCCTATGGGCTAAAGAATAGGTATAATTTTATAGATTATTTGACTTTTTCTTGTTTTTAGGATAGGAGCAACATTCTCTTGTTTTTTTTTTCTTTTTGTATATTAAGCTGATGCAGAATCACCCTGAGTGTATAGTTGTTTCAAGGCAGCCAGATAACAGAACAAATGTATTAACTTAGTAGAATTTATATTAACAGGAAAACAATGCAATATGGTTTATATTGTTCACATAAGTTAAGACTTAAAAAGTAGTAAGCATGTCCTTAAAAGAATAATGCTGAAACATTATCAATAAAAACCCATAGTGAAGTTGTACAAGAGGCAAGTGAATATTGGTTCCTGGAGTTCTGTTTGCAGATAGTAAATTAGGTGGTATTCATAGACTTCTATACTTATATTCATAACAGAAATATTAGTTTCACTTTTTGTTAGATAAGTGTCTTGGAGGAAGTAAAATGTAAATTTTGTCTTAAAGCAATTGTGACTTGAACTAGCCACGGAAGAGGGATAAGGCAATTCAGGTGAAGAAAACAGCAAATTCAAAGGCATGAAAATAGAAAATGAGTAGTGAGCTTGTAATATATTGACAAATCATAAAGACACTATCCTTATTTTGTTTATCTGTTTCAGAGGTTGTCAAACTACAGTAATAGCTGCATTTAGTCTATGGCCTGTTTTTGTGTGACCAGTGAGCTAAGAATGCCTTTTACATTTTTAGAGGTTTGCTAAGAAAGAAAAGATGAACACACATAGGCTCAAAATAACGGGATGGAGGAAGATCTACCAAGCAAATGGAAAACAAAAAAAGGCAGGATTGCAATCATAGTCTCTGATAAAACAGATTTTAAACCAACAAAGATCAAAAGAGACAAAGAAGGCCATTACATAATGGTAAAGGGATCAATTCAACAAGAAGACCTAACTATCCTAAATATATATGCACACAATACAGGAGCACCCAGATTCATAAAGCAAGTCCTTAGAGACCTACAAAGAGACTTAGACTCCCACACAATAATAATGGGAGACTTTAACACCCCACTGTCAACATTAGACAGATCAATGAGACAGAAAGTTAACAAGGATATCCAGTAATTGAACTCAGCTCTGCACAAAGTGCACCTAATAGACATCTACAGAACTCTCCACCCCAAATCAATAGAATATACATTCTTCTCAGCACCATATCACACTTATTCCAAAATTGACCACACAGTTGGAAGTAAAGCACTCCTCAGCAAATGTAAAAAACAGAAATTTTAACAAACTGTCTCTCAGACCACAGTGCAATCAAACTAGAATTCAGGATTAAGAAACTCACTCAAAACCGCTCAACTACATGGAAACTGAACAACCTGCTCCTGAATGACTACTGGGTACATAATGAAATGAAGGCAGAAATAAAGATCTTCTTTGAAACCAATGAGAACAAAGACACAACATACCAGAATCTCTGGGACACATTTAAAGCAGTGTATAGAGGGAAAATTATTGCAATGAGTGCCCACAAGAGAAAGCAGGAAAGATGTAAAATTGACACCCTAACATCTCAATTAAAAGAACTAGAGAAGCAAGAGGAAACACATTCAAAAGCTAGCAGAAGGCAAGAAGTAACTAAGATCAGAGCAGAACTGAAGGAGATAGAGACACAAAAAACCCTTCAAAAAATCAATGAATCCAGGAGCTGGTTTTTTGAAAAGATCAACAAAATTGATAGACCGCTAGCAAGACTAATAAAGAAGAAAGGAGAGAAGAATCAAATAGACTCAATAAAAAATGATAAAGGGGATATCACCATCAATCCCACAGAAATACAAACTACCATCAGAGAATACTATAAAAACCTCTATGCAAAAAAACTAGAAAATCTAGAAGAAATGGATAAATTCCTGGACACATACACCCTCCCAAGACTAAACCAGGAAGAAGTGGAATCTCTGAATAGACCAATAACAGGATCTGAAATTGAGGCAATAATTAATAGCCTACCAACCAAAAAAAATCCAGGACCAGACAGATTCACAGCCGGATTCTACCAGAGATACAAGGAGGATCTGGTACCATTCCTTCTGAAACTATTCCAATCAATAGAAAAAGAGGGAATCCTCCCCAACTCATTTTATGAAGCCAGCATCATCCTGATATCAAAGCCTGGCAGAGACACAACAAAAAAAGAGAATTTTAGACCAATATCCCTGATGAACATCGATGCAAAAATCCTCAATAAGATACTGGCAAACCAAATCCAGCAGCACATCAAAAAGCTTATCCACCATGATCAAGTGGGCTTCATCCCTGGGATGCAAGGCTGGTTCAACATATGCAAATCAATAAACATAATCCAGCATATAAACAGAACCAAAGACAAAAACCACATGATTATCTCAATACATGCAGAAAAGGCCTTTGACAAAATTCAACAGCCCTTCATGCTAAAAACTCTCAATAAATTAGGTATTGATGGGACGTATCTCAAAATAATAAGAGCTATTTATGACAAACCCACAGCCAATATCATACTGAATGGGCAAAAGCTGGAAGCATTCCCTTTGAAAACTGGCATGAGACAGGGATGCCCTCTCTCATCACTCCTATTCAACATAGTGTTGGAAGTTCTGGCCAGGGCAATCAGGCAGGAGAAAGAAATAAAGGATATTCAATTAGGAAAAGAGGGAGTCAAATTGTCCCTGTTTGCAGATGACATGATTGTATATTTAGAAAACCCCATCGTCTCAGCCCCAAATCTCCTTAAGCTGATAGGCAACTTCAGCAAAGTCTCAGGATACAAAATCAATGTACAAAAATCACAAGCATCTTATACACCAATAACAGACAAACAGAGAGCCAAATCATGAGTGAACTCCCATTCACAATTGCTTCAAAGAGAATAAAATACCTAGGAATCCAACTTACAAGGGACGTGAAGGACCTCTTCAAGGAGAACTACAAACCACTGCTCAATGAAATAAAAGAGGATACAAAGAAATGGAAGAACATTCCATGCTTATGGATAGGAAGAATCAATACTGTGAAAATGACCATACTGCCCAAGGTAATTTATAGATTCAATGCCATCCCCATCAAGCTACCAATGACTTTCTTCACAGAATTGGAAAAAACTACTTTAAAGTTCATATGGAACCAAAAAAGAGGCCGCATTGCTAAGACAATCCTAAGCCAAAAGAACAAAGCTGGAGGCATCACGCTACCTGACTTCAAACTACACTACAAGCCTACAGTAACCAAAGCAGCATGGTACTGGTACCAAAACAGAGCTATAGACCAATGGAACAGAACAGAGCCCTCAGAAATAATACCACACATTACAACTATCTGATCTTTGACAAACCTGACAAAAACAAGAAACAGGGAAAGGATTCCCTATTCAACAAATGTTGCTGGAAAAACTGGCTAGCCTTATGTAGAAAGCTGAAACTGGATCCCTTCCTTACATCTTTTACAAAAATTAATTCAAGATGGATTAAAGAGATTAAAGACTTAAATGTTAGACCTAAAACCATAAAAACCCTAGAAGAAAACCTAGGCAATACCATTCAGGACACAGGCACGGGCAAGGACTTCATGTCTAAAACACCAAAAGCAATGGCAACAAAAGCCATAATTGACAAATGGGATCTAATTAAACTAAAGAGCTTCTGCACAGCAAAAGAAACTACCATCAGAGTGAACAAGCAACCTACAGAATGGGAGAAAATTTTTGCAATCTACTCATCTGACAAAGGGCTAATATCCAGAATCTGCAAAGAACTCAAACAAATTTACAAGAAAAAAACAAACAACTTCATCAAAAAGTGGGCGAAGGATATGAACAGACACTTCTCAAAAGAAGACATTTATGCAGCCAACAGGCACATGAAAAAATCCTCATCATCACTGGCCATCAGAGAAATGCAAATCAAAACCACAATGAGATATCATCTCACACCAGTTAGAATGGCAATCATTAAAAAGTCAGGAAACAACAGGTGCTGGAGAGGATGTGGAGAAATAGGAACACTTTTACACTGTTGGTGGGACTGTAAACTAGTTCAACCATTGTGGAAGACAGTGTGGTGATTCCTTAAGGATCTAGAACTAGAAATACCATTTGACCCCGCCATCCCATTACTGGGTATATACCCAAAGGATTATAAATCATGCTATTATAAAGGCACATGCACACGTATGTTTATTGCGGCACTATTCACAATAGCAAAGACTTGGAACCAACCCAAATGTCCATCAATGGTAGACTGGATTAAGAAAATGTGGCACATATACACCATGGAATACTATACAGCCATAAAAAAGAATGAGTTCATGTCCTTTGTAGGGACATGGATGAAGCTGGAAACCATCATTCTCAGCAAACTATTGCAAGAACAAAAAACTAAACACCACATGTTCTCACTCATAGGTGAGAACTGAACAGTGAGAACACTTGGACACAGAAAGGGGAACATCATGCACTGGGGCCTGTCGTGGGGTTGGGCAAAGGTGGGGGGAAGCATTAGGAGATATACCTAATGTAAATGACGAGTTAATGGGTGCAGCACACCAACATGGGACATTTATACATATGTAACAAACCTGCACGTTGGGCACATGTACCCTAGAACTTAAAGTATAATAAAAAAAAAAAAAGAAAAGAAAAACAAGATGAAAGAAGAAGGGGAGGAGGAGAAAGAAGCCAAGGAGGTGACTATGCAGCTTGAAAAGCCTAAGATATTTACAACATGAACCTTCACAGGACAGGTTTGCCATCTGCATAATTTTCTTATTGTTTGCTATTTTATCACAAGGAAATAGAAATCTCCTCAGATTTTAAAAAATTTGTACTAAAATAAATATAGTCATCATATTGTCTATTCTCCTGCATTTGTTTCTTAATTGATTAAGATCAAATTAACCAGCTATATTAATGCTTTTATTTTTTCATTTCTGATCTATTAAATGTGGATTTATAATTTAATAGATCACATATATTACCAACTGGTTTTTACATTGCCTTTTTCTTTTATTGGTGAGCCAGATATAACCATAATTTCATTTCTCAAATTGTCGTTAATCCATGATGTACTTAAGGAGACTGATGAATTTGAGCATTCTGGCTGCAAGTCAAGGAAAAGACAGGACCATGAGATGGAAGTTATGTAACTACAAGCTTTATTGGGTGGCAGTTGGACAGGATTGCCTGGGAGGATGTCCCTCAGAGCAGTAGACTTCCAGAGACAGCAGCACAGGGTCACTATCCAGAAAGGGAGGAGGAAAAGGGAATTCCTGGGATAGAGGAATGTCAGGAGGAGGCTATGGGTTTAGGAGAAGGTGCCCAGTAGCACAGTGTGGACTATACACATGTGGGCAAACAAAACCAACTGAAGCGATTTCATGGAAGATATACTCAACCCATCTATGGTAAAATAACAGATTGACACTGGATTTCTTTCTAAGAAGATAGTTTTGACTTTCTGACTTTTTCCATGTCTTTCCTTTTTTTACTATTCCTATTGGCCATTCTCTGTCAGATGGTTGAGACAGCTATACTAATTAGACAGGACTGATCTTCCAAGCTGTTTTACTTCCCCCTCTATTTGAAAGTGACAGTACTTCTTAATGTACCCTCAGAAGAAGTGTGGTTGCAGGAAAATTAAAAATTAAATCAAATATGGTAAATTTTTCTGCTATTATTTTCAAAAAATATGTTAGAACACCAGAAAGAATTCTATTTGGCTTGTCAACTGTGGGATTTGATTAAACATTTCATACTTGCTCTTCATTTTTGTAGACAATCAACAGCAGATTTTTAAAATAACAAATAATGTTTTTATAAATAATGCTTAAAATTTAACTTTTACTTGGTTAGGTCCTCAGTGAAGACTGTATTCTTAACTGGTAAAATATTTGTACTTTCATATTGGATGTCCCAGTGCTGTAATCTGAATATGTTGCCTCCCAAACTTATGTGTTGAAAACCTAACCACTAATGCAACAGTGTTAGGAGGTGGGGTCTTTTGGGAGATATTTGAGCCATGAGGGACTTTGTCCTCATAACTTGATTAATGACATTATAAAAAAGACTGTGATGTGGGTTTCTTCTCTTCTGCTCTTCTACCAAATGAGTTTATAGCATCCATTCCCTTTTTTGCCCTTCTGCCTTCCACCATGTGAGGATGCAGAAAGACCTACAACCAAACATCAGATATTGTGCTGCGATCTTTGATTTTCCAGCCTCTAGAACTGTAAAAAATATATTTCAGGTTTTTTAAAAAAATAAATTACCCAGTTTCAGGTATGTTGTTACAGCAGCACAAATGGAATGAGACACTTACAATGGGTTTTTAGCTTTTTCACCTGCATCTTCAAATATGCCACAGAAATTATTTTCTCATAGGGAACTCCAGTTTGCTTTATGAATTTGTTCAGGGATTGGAACATAGAAGACAAAAAGGCCAGGTTTATTACTTACTGGTGTCTGATAATTCCAGAAAATAGATACCAAAGCCGGAAAAATAGTTGCTCTTAGTTTTAAATATTTTCAAAAATATTTAAAGATTATCAAAGATTATTAACGATTGATCAGTCCTAGTTGCAAGACTCAAAAGGAGAATGAGTAAAACTCAAAGTAAGCAGTCAGAAAAGGAGCATAAATTCTTTTTTTATTGGTCTTGTTTTATAGTGAATTTGACAAAATAATTTCATAATATGCTTTCTGCTAGTTCATTACTTGACTCTGGGGCTTTAATGATGGCTGGAACTTCCATAATCCCAATGGACTTCACGGTGGAGAGTACTAACTCAAGTTGTTATGGTAAAATCCTGATAAACTCAATAGGGTTTTTGTTATGACATAGAGATTTACACCTTGAATTAAAAACACAGTAGAGGAAAGTATATTTTGACATTCACTTTTTTTGTGTGAACACCTTATAAGTATATTATCAATGACCTGTTAACTAATGATCATGGCCTCAAACATTCAGGAACAAATCTTTCAGACTTAAAAAAATTACTAACACCTGATTCTCAATCTTGGTGATCAACAGCAAGACTGCGCAATTCCAGTCTTTATCATTTTTCAATTAAGATACTAATTTACTTACCAAATTTTTACTTGGATCAAGAAATATCCGTAGAAAATAATATTGTATAATAGTAAAGATAATTTAAGCATACTTAATTGATTAATTAATGCTATGGTCCAAATCGTGTTTCCCCAAAATTCACATGTTGAAGTCTATCCCCCTGATTGTAACTGTATTTGGAGATAGAGTCTTTAGGAGGTAATTAAGGTGAAAGTAGGTCATAAGAGTAGAACCCTAATCTCACAGGACTGTGGCTTTAAAAGAAGAGAAAGAAAGGTCACTCTTTCTCTCTCTCCACCATCTGAGAACACAGTGAGAAGGTAACTCTAAAAATTAGGAAGAAAGCTCTCACCAAAACAGAGCCCTGTTGGACCACAATCTTGGACTCCCCAGCCCCCAGAACTGTGAAAAAATAAATTTCTCTTGTTTAAGCCATTAAGTCTATGGTACTTTGTTATGGTAGCCTGAGCAGACTGAGAATATGAATTTGCATTGGATAGCTATCTTAAATTTTATGCAGGATGCATTAAAATGAATACCTTCTTGAAAGACTTTAAAAGTCTGTCCCTCAAAGAAAAACCGAAAAAAGAGGAAAACGAAATAATAGCCTAAAGATGTTAATAACTGATACCATATTTGAATCACCTTTCAGAATCTATTAATACCAAAAAATTCCATTGCCTTTTGTAGTTAACTATAAGCATATTATCTTCCTTCTTCCAACAGACCAGAACACGTTAGGAAACATATTCCACTATTCAAAGGATAAAGCTCTTCTTTCAAATTGTGTACTGAAGATATTTAGTTAGAAAAAGACTCAGTAGTATGCCTGGTAAGTCAAAGATTATGTTAAAATATAAGCTCATGACTACTTGAGCTTTTCTTTCCTTTTTCTCATTGGCTTTCACCCACGCAATGCCTTTCTTTGCTTCCGATAAAGCTTCCAATAATTTTTCTCACCTTTGTTCTACTTGTTTGATTTGACTTCATGATAATAAGTTTAACTTCCTATTTATATCTTGCCATTTTTTTTGAACACTGAAAAGCCTCAAAAAATTACCTGTGAAATCATACTCTTTGGCCACAAGTTTGTTTATATTGCAGGAAAAAGAACATTAGGAGATATGAAATTTAAGGGCATGAAAAGAAAACAGCATGCTACTGCTTTAGGTGTATCAGGCCTCACCCTAACTCAATCTGCATGTGATCAAATAATTTTTAGTTTTTAATTATTAATTATGGAATTGGTGAAGATGCTATATGTTTCATGCTTACATATATGATAGAAAATGCCAAATGGAATTTGTGTAAGGGAATATATGGAAGCTTTAGGTTGAAGCAAGAGTTAATTTGGGAGCAAAGATGTTTGGTACAATGTTATCACTTTATCCTGGTTGGTGAAAGGGGGGATGGTTCTTATACAAACACCTGTCATACATGATCATGTTCTATGTGCCAGAATAGAGTGACAGTGAGGAACTGAGTAATCTTTCCTTTTTTTCTGTTTACTCAGTTAGATTTCATTAAACTTAGACTGAACTTAAATATTTCTGATTAATGAGAGGAGCCTGGTGGTTAAAATAAAACACTCAAAACTCCAAATAAATGCTTTTTTTTTTTTTTTTGCCTTCGAATACCAGCTTGGTGGAGGAGTTGTCTTTGGAGAATAGCACTGGCTGAGTGTATCTCAGTCCTGGACTCACATTCAGCTAGCTTATATCTAGATATAGAGGAAAAGTTATATCTAGATATAGATATGGAGGAAAATATTTCAAGAAGGAATGGTGAGCAAAACAGCTCACTGTTGATTACTGTTGAAAACTCAAGCATGATGAAACTGAAAAGTGTCTACTGGGTTTAGCAATGTGGAGTGCACTGATTACTGAACGTTTGATATGAAGGAGTGGCTGGAAATAGAACTCAGATTTCTGAAAGGGATGAAAGTGATTATGAAAGCGAAGGAGGAAATGTAAACCACGCTCTTGAGAAATTTTGCTGTGAAGAGAAGGTCAGTAGCCAGAGGGGGATTGAAGGCAGGTTTTAAAGATGAGAGTGAATTGAGACTGTTTATGTATGATACTGATGGAAAAATGGAGCAAGGGGAGAATAAAGTAAGTAACTAAGGGACGATTTCTGGTAAGACAGCAGAGGATGGGCTCCAGTGCATGGTTTAGATACTGGCCTTATGTAAAAGGAGAGGCATCTTTCTTATTTTATAGGTGATGAAGAGGAAAGAATGGGCACAGATAAAAGCAGGTTTCTAGATTCCGTATGGGGAGTTGGAGTACCTGTCTCATGGCTTGAACTTTTCTTGCTAGGTAGGAGCTATGATCATGTGCTGATAATAAAATGGGAGATCTAGGATGAATTATGGGGGAAGTTGGAGATTTGAATACAGTAAGGAAAATTAGAAATGATTGACTAGAGAAACACCTTGGCAGGCAAGGCCCAGTGAAGGCTGTTGGTTTATTCCTTACATACAATTCTGTCTTGCTTGCTAGGACGCTCAGGTTTGAAAGTTAAGAGATAATGCTTTCCCACACTTATTTAGACACCATATGAACATTTTCTTTAAAGTATTCACAATATTACCCTTGTTTAATAAAACATAAAATCCTAGTTATAAAGATTCCTGGTAAATTTTTCTAGTCTTATATTTTAAACTATTGAAACTATGTCCTTTTGGCCAGGCTCTGTGACTCACACCTCTAATCCCAGCACTTTGGGAGGCCGAGGGGGGTGGATCACGAGGTCAGGAGTTTGAGACCAGCCTGACCAATATGGTGTAACCCCGTCTCTACTAAAAATACAAAAATTAGCTGGGCGTGGTGGCACACACCTGTAGTCCCAGCTACTTGGGAAGCTGAGGCAGAAGAATCATTTCAACCTGGGAGGCTGAGATTGCAGTGAGCCGAGATCATGCCACTACACTCTAGCCTGGGTGACAGAGCAAGACTCTGTCAAAAAAAAAAAAAAGAAAAAAGAAAAAAGAAAGAAAGAAACTATGTCCTTTCTAACATTTCGTAATAAAACAATTTAAAATTAAAAGTGAGCTTCTGGCTTTAAGGAGAATGGGATAGTTTCAAAATTGTCTTCAGAAACTTTAAGACAAAATAGGAACAAACAGATTGCCAAAAATATATTTTAATACTATAAGTAACTGAAATGATGCAAATTCTTCATTGTTTTTAAAATCCTTAAGATCCTTACTTTTAAGAATCAATTAGATTCTTATTGCACAAAAGTTTTAGATTTTTGTAAAATTTGCCAAAATTACTGGAGCTTCAAACTTAATCCTTAAATTTCTTTTTGTAAAGTGAAAAACTAAATATTGTCATACCTAGACTGGAGATTAGGTCAATTAGTGAGAGAATTTTTGATGTTACTAGGTGTTTATATATGTAGGCTAAATGCTAATGATCTCTTTTTTTCTTGTAATAACAGAGGATACTTAAGGATAATCAGAATGGGAATTATTTTCAGAATCTTTTTTTTTTTTCACTCAGTTCAGATGGCACTTTCTATGTTTTATTGCCCAGGAAGTAAAAATATTTTTTTCTTGCTTTTAACAGATTTTAAAAGACAATTACAGATGTCTATTTGGTGGGTTTCTGTTTGGCCTGCTGATTCCTTTCTGCTCTATTTCCATTTCATATTCAAGAAACTCAAGCCCAGGGGCTTATATAAAAAATGTATTATAAAATGATCATGTTTTTATTTCTCCTTTTTTAAAAAACCAGTTCTGAGTATTCTTAAATCATCATACCCTCATTCTCCTGTTACATTACTGCTGGGCAAGATTTTTTCAAGGTGAACTAAAATACCATAATAGTTATATTGCTCAAATTCAAATTTATTTTTTCAAAAGATGTTTGCCACTTCATAAATATCAATTCAAAAGCTGAAAATTAACTCGAATACTTTTTTGGAAATTTGTCTTTAATTTAATCTCCTTTGACTTGATTTCCAAGAAGAATCTGAGGGAATTTGACAATAGTGGCTCTTTTAGAGATGTGTATTGTTTCTACCTGGTTGATTGGGCTTTCATTTGAAATTTCAAAGTGGTTTTTAAAGAATTTGGGGTTTCCACAAACCCCCAATATAGCTTGCATGTATCTTCCTTTTTGTTTTTATAAAAGCACTTGTATTATGAGAAAAGTAAATAATTCAATAAGAACACATTTTGGCTCTTTAATAATTCACATTTTCAAAATCTTTCATTTGTTTTAGCCCACATAACACATAGACTTGTCAAAGTATGTTATTTACAATGGAGGAAGAAGGTTGCTTCTGGAATCAGACAGCTAACTCTCTCACTCTTTCATTCAGCAGTGATAGATTTCATTTTAGAGTAATTGCAGATCGCTATTCATATTGTTTGTAGTAAATTAGCTTCAGTATTCAGGAAATACATTGCATGTGTGCGTGTGCACACACATGCACATACTTGACAGCATTCTTGCAATCACTTGTCACATTTTGGGTTTTGCTGTCTAGCATGGTATTCTTCAACACCTGCCAAGATATTAGAGCTCCATTTTATTCTGTGGGTTTACATTCCTTTGAAAGCTGAATAAATTGATCTTTTTATTTCTTTCATTTGTAGACAAACTTTTAAAGTTATTAGCCTATTTCTCTTTACAAAATAAGCTTATTTTTATTCATGTTTGTTTAAATCCTGCATCTTTCCTAAAATTGCTTGATGCCCCATGAATTAAATTTAAAGAAACTTGAGAAAATCATTTTTAGCAAGAGGCAGAATGTAATGTATAACACTAAACAGAGCCCTTACGGTGATAAAAGATGTGTTTGAATGTTTTTCCTTTTTAATCTGATCTGGATCTGAGCAATAAAAATTCAACACCCTGGAGGTCATTAAGTGGTATTTATACACTGATGAAGAAATATAATACTAACTACAGAATTTAGGGCAGACAACAATGATTGAAAGACACACACCATCATCATATAGATTGAAAGCTCAAACAGATTCAGCTCATCGGAGAAAAACTCTATTTGCTGACATAGAACTTGCCACTAAAAGACATCAGTTCATCATAAGAACAGCCAAATAACAACAGCATGCCAATCTAGAAAGTAATGCTTTTCTAAAATCAATGGGAAAATTTTACATGACATTTGATTTTTATCCTTAAATAATTCACTTAAATCCTGCAAACTGAATTTATTATATGACTTTGTTGTATTATCTGTTATTCTTCTTTAATTGTTTTATACTCATTAGTCTCCTTAACTGTTTGGTTAGGTCCCTGAAGGTAGGAACTCTATTGTACAAATATTTTATAAAATATTTCACAGAAGACTTGATAAAGTTAGCATTCAATAAATTAATTTTTTTGACAAGCAAAATAAATTGATAATGAGTGAACTACCTACAGTTTGTTGTTTTGCTGTCCAAAAGGCAAATTTTGCTTGTGATGCTATGTGTCTGTCGTGTAACTTAGATGAAATCCCTGTGTTTTGAGCTGGATGGAAATATAAGCAATCAGGCAGTTAAGCAAAAACTGCTTTGATGTCACAAAGAACCTCAGAGGAATGCAGGTAGTCTCAGTTACCACGAGGAAATCTAGCATTTCCATCTGAAAAGTGTTTGCTTACTTCCTACCAAATGTTCCCCACTGGATACTCTTAATAAATAATGATCTGTGTTTTATACTCACTGAAAATATCATAACATACTTTCATTTAGTTTGTTGACTTATAGGGAGGAAATGGAAATACATAATTTACCAAGCTTTTGTATTCCACATCATAGAGAAAGTCATTTAGGTATAAAAGGCAAATATCTTTGTAGTTTTACATTTTTTAAAATTTGTGTATCATTTTCTTGTATGTATCTAGTATGTACATATTTACAGCATGGCACACCTCTTTGCTTTCTTCACTTGTATATAATAAACATTCAACACAGGAAAAGTTTAGATAATTAATAACAATATTTATTTCAAAATTTAAACTTGTAAGGATTAAATGTTTAGGAATTAAGTGACATTCTTTTTATGTTTGTATAATATCACTGCCAGTACACTGCAACATAATACATGTTCGAAAATATTTTATGACAATTCACATGCTAATTCGATATGTTTCTTTCCCCTTAAAATATATAGAGGAAAGATTGAACTTAACCTTAAATGTGACTGTTGAAGTCACTTTTCTTAGGTTTAATTCATGATCTTCACTCTCATCCCTCTACCTGTGCCTTCCCCTAAGACCTCATTTCAGTGTTCAGGCTTTATGACCCTGTTTTAATGATAGTACCATCTTGCTTAGCAGCAATTTAACAGACTGTCATTGAAAGGCCTATCTGCAATCAGAAAAACTTAAACACCATCTTGATAGAATTGTGAATTTACATTATCAAAAGAAATAGCCAATAAGTTGAGAGAATATTTCAGTGGAGGAAAATTAGAAGTTATCTTAGAAACAAGTTCTTCAGAATAAAAAAATTGTCCCCAAGAAATAGCCTGGAATATATTCTCCCACACCCTACTCACACTTTGTAAAATTATAGAGATTCTTAAGACTTCCTATCAAAACCAAATAAAGTCATAAGCATTTTGTTGAAATTATTAAAATGTTTTCATTTTTAGTAATAAGCACCCTTTCTGAAATTTCAATATTTCATATATTTGTAGAGTAAAAATTGGGAAAAGAAATAGATCAAGGGAGATATATTTGATAGACTATATATAAATTTTAATTGACAAACTTTGGATTTTTAACAGAGAAGCTAGAAAACATTCTATAGTTTGAACATTATTTTGTTATCAGATATTATGATCATTATATACCAGGATAGAAGATTACTCAACTCTGAAATAATGAAAGAATGTGATATGGATGATAAGACAATTCACTCAATGCCTCTGAGGCTAACGTTTTCCAAAGAAATAGCAATGGTTAATGACAGAACATTTAGTTGATTTTGTGTGTTATTTGAAGTTCGTGGTATACGTAATGACTGATAATGAACTGTGTATTCCAGATATGGGTTCACTAAGCAACATATACTTTTGCTACCTCTACAAAGTCTCAAACCAGAAGGATCTTATTAAGTATTCTGAAAAAGTAGAAAGTGAATGGGTGATCCTCATGGATATTTATGGTCACTACCTTACTGTCAAAAAGAAGAGACCGTACAGGTAATATCCCTTTAAAATATTCAGAAGAGGAACAAATCTCAAGGATTTACTGCTTAAAAGTGGGTATAGTTGAAGAAAACTGCCTCATCTACTTATTTTTAAAGTGATTTTTCATGTATCAAAAGATATGTCTATTAGATTTGCTAATGGATATTTTATTACAAAGAAAAATAAAAGAGACATAGACAGCTGTTATGTAAAGTCTTCCTGCCAACTTAAAAAGTGATGAAATACTATTATCCTCATTAAAGTAGCATTAGTGATTATTTTTATTAATATTCATTATATCTTGTAATGCTTTATTCACCAATAGTAAACATTATCAACTCTTATTCTCTAATTCTTAAATTAAGAAATATTTAATTGATAAATTTTCAAGAAAAAAACCCTACTCTTTGCTTAGGATCATTTTTTCTGTTTTAAAGAACTGGCAAGAAGAGTTCTGTTGCAAATATCTTTATATACCCCCACAAAAATAATATAAAATATTTTCAGTGTTAATGCTCCATATTTTTGCAGGGTCAGGAATTATTGATTGACAGTTTATTTTTTCTTCTTTTTTCTGTACTTGGGTGATGTTGTTCTGCTGTCTTCTGGCTTGCATTGCTTTCAGTGATAATTCTGCTATCATTTCTTGTTTTTATTTTAAGCAATTTGATGATGTCCTGATTTAGTGTAATTTTTTTTTTGCATGTTTCTTGTGCTTGGAATTTGTTGTGCTTCTTGGATGTGAAGGGTAATTGTTTTTCTCAAATTTGTAAAAACTTCCACTCAATTTCTTTAAATATTTTTTTCTGTCCACTGCCACCCTTCTCTCTTTCAAAGGCTTCAATTACATGTATATTAAGACTACAAATTATTTCATAGCACACTAGTACTCCACTTATATTTATTATATTTTCAGCCTTTTTTCTATCTGGTTATCATTTGAAATATTTTCTGCAGTTATATTTTCAAGTTTACTAGTACTTTATCTTGCATTTTTTAATCTGTTATTTATGCTATGTGTATTTTTCACTTTTTACATGATTTTTAATCTTTCAAAGTTTATGTGGTATTTTACTTCTATGTCTGTCCATATTATGCTTAATCTTTCTTTTAGTTTTTTAAAAGATAAAATACAGTTAGAACTTTCATTGTCTTTATTAATTCTATCAACTGGTAGTTTCTGGATTGGTTTCGATTCATTGATTTTCCTCTTCACAGTATATTGTATCATATTGTTTCTTTGCATGCCTGCTCATTTCGTATTGGATGCCAGACATTCTACATCTTTTTCTTGTTGTGGTCTGAATATTTTTGTATTACCACAAGTGTTCCTGAACTTTGTTCTTGGATGCAGCTAAATTACTTAGAAATATTTTCGATTCTTTTTTATTTTGTTTTTAAGTTTTTGTTAGGCAGGACCAGAGCAGTGTTTAGTCTAGACTTAATTTTTCCCCACTCCAGGGGGCAAAACTCTTCTGTGGATTGTTTCCAATTCCTCGTGAATTATGAGAATTTTTACTCTGGTTGGTTTGGGCTTCAAGCATTTTCCTCTTTCATACTTTCTAATGGTTCTTTTTCTGACCTCAGGTAGTTTTGTAGTATGCATGTGCTGGTCGGTACTTAGTTCTTGTCAAGGGCCTTTCTACAGGTCTCTGCAGTTCTCTTTCAATGTAGCTTTCTTCCCTCCAGTACTTTCCTCTGTGAATTCTGGTTGTCTAAACTTTCTTCAATTCCTAGGTTCATCTCCTCAATTCAGAGAGACTGTAGGACTCCTTGTGGATCTCTTTCTTGTTCCACAACTGGAAACTTTCTTCAGGCAGTCCTCTGGATATTCACAAGGCTCACCTCATTTGTTCCCTATGTCTGGGCAATCACTGTCCTTCATCACTTGAGTCCAATGTCTTGATAACTATTATTTCCTATACTTTATCTATTGTGGGAATGCTATTCCATTTGGTTTCAGTGGAAGTCCTATTATTTTTATCTTTAATCTATTTGAATCTACTTATTTAAAGTTTATTAATTGTGATAGTATATAGTTAAGTCTTGTTTTTTTATTTAGCCTGATAATTTGTGCCTTTTAATTTGAGGGCTTATTTCTACGCTGTCAAATACTGCATTGGCCACATGTGGCTTGAAATGTGACTGTTCAGACTTGATATATATTGTCAGTGTAAAATATGGGGCATTTATTTTTTAGTTTTTATTTTTTTAGAGATGAAGTCTTGCTGCGTTGCCTAGCCTAGCCTCAAACTCCTGGGCTCAAGTGATGCTCCTGCCTCAGCCTTCTAAACAGCTGGAACTTTAGGCACATGCTACTATGCCTGGCCAGAGTGGTTCTTAATATCTTACTACAAAAAAGTAATACATCTAATTTATAAATTTTTCTAATCATTACACATTGAAATATTTTGAGCATATTGAGTTTAATATTAATATATTATTAAAGTTAGATTTACTTGTTTTTCACTTTTGAAAATGTGGCTATTAGAACATTTGAAAATATATATGTAAGTTGCATTATATTTCTGTTGGGCAGCCCTGTATTAGACTCTCCAACTTGGATAGGTTCTAGTTCTTCTAATCTTCTCATCCTGAAGACCTGCCAAAATTTATGCTAGTTTATTTATATCTCAAATGTCATCAGTGCAAAAGTATTAATAGCTTTGTTGCTCTGGTACTACGGTTTCATGACTTTTCTTACATTTTGGCCTGCTATTTTCTTACTTTATCAGTTCTCTGATGCTTTTAAGAAGGCTTATACATATTATACCCAGAACTTTTAGTTGGTTGGTTTCTTAGGGAAGGTTTTTCTGAATAAACTAGCCTGTCGTTATCAGAAATGGAAATGTGGCAAAAGAGAGCAAGACAGTACATGTATTAGTTTGCTGGGCAGGGGTTGGGCAATGAGGTGGTGCAGGCTGTATCAGAGTTTCATAGGGTGGGTGGTTTAGAATAGAAATTTGTTGTCTCACAGTTCAGGAGGCCAAGCCTGATATTAAGGTGCCAGCACCGCCATGCTCCCTCTGAAGCATGCTCTTTTCTTCTAGCAGAGGCTCTGTTCCAGCCTCTTTCCTAGCCTCTAAATGCCTGGCTTTTAGATGGTTGTCTTCTTGCTGTGTTTCTTCACTTGGGTTTCTCTCTTTGTGACTTCTTTTGTGCCCAGTTTTTTCTCTTTCTACAGGGACAACAGTCATACTGAATTAATGAACCATGCTGCTGACCTCATTTTAACTTGATTTACTTCTGTAAAAGGCTTATCTCCAAATAAGGTCACATTCTAAGATACTAAGAATTAGGCCGGGTGCGGTGGCTCACGCCTGTAATCCCAGCACTTTGGGAGGCCGAGGCGGGCGGATCACGAGGTCAGGAGATCGAGACCATCCTGGCTAACACAGTGAAACCCCGTCTCTACTAAAAATACAAAAATTAGCCGGGTGTAGTGGCGGGCGCCTGTAGTCTGTAGTCCCAGCTACTCGGGAGGCTGAGGCAGGAGAATGGCATGAACCCGGGACGCGGAGCTTGCCTTCAGCCGAGAAGATCGCGCCACTGCACTCCATCCAGCCTCGGCGACAGAGCGAGACTGTCTCAAAAAAAAAAAAAAAAAAAAAAAAAGAATTAGGACTTCACCATACCCTTTTGGGGGGAACACAATTCAAGCCATAATACTCATCAATCCATTTCCTCCTCTTCGTAGGAATTCTGAAGATCTGACTTCCCTATCCCCCTTTAAGTTAGGTCAGGCCATCTGCCTGGTTCTGTATAAATGAATGTGGATGAAAGTGATGTGTACCACTACAAAACCTGGCTAGAAGGCATCCTACATAATACTCCTCATTTTTGCTCTTTGCCTTATTGGGTGACTAAACGCACAGGATCTAGCAGAGGACACTGAGGAGTCCCTGGAAGATTGCGGCAACACAAGACGGAGAAGCCAGGATCCCAAAGCACCAAGTGAAAGACTGGTCGGCAAAAATCCATTTGAACTGTGATGTGAGTGAAAAACATATGCCTGTTGAATTAAGTAATGATCAATGCTATGCTCTGTTTGTACTCATAGCAGCTTCTGTTATGCCTTTTATTAATACGTCTGGCTTGTTTCCTTTTGATCTCAGGGCTAAAATATCCCATTTGAAAAACCACCCATTTTTTTTCCAGTCTTCTGCTTTGTCAAGTTATATCATAGCAAGTTTTTACAATAAATAAAACTCTATAGTAAAAAATAATTTTCCTTCTCAATTTTCCTAAGTTAATATTGTAAAAATTGTTTCATAATAAATATAGTTTCATTTACTTAATATATAGCATAAAGGCATTATTGCAGTGTTATACTCTTGATGCTTATTCACAAATGGGTAATATCATGAATAAATTAGTTTTAAAAATAAGTTTGAAAGATATTGTACCTAATCAAATATATTATAAGTACTATGCCTTGAAAATATGACAATTATAATTTTTTAATTTTAGATAAAATAAGTAATACACACACACACGCCTATATATTTCTGAGTTTTGTCCCAATATAAAATATATTAACTTCAAGATTTGCATTTGCAAGCTATACTGAATTAATTCTGGATCACAGAATAAATACATTGGTTAAGTTTGTTGCCAAATAATGAAAAGTGAATGAAAAATAAGGTCAAAAGAAACAATAAAAATAAACAGAAAATAAACAGAATCTGGATTTAATGATAGTTTATAAGATACTTGGGAAGCTCATAAAATATTTTTAAGTAGGTCACATTTTTCTTCATGTCATAAAACACAAAAACCAGTTGCCATTGTTTAAAGATGTGATTTTACTTTTAAAAATAGTTTTGCTTCATATTTTCTTTTCTTTTCTTTTTTCTTTTTTTTTTCTTTTGAGATGGAGTTTTACTTTTGTTGTCCAGGCTGGAGTGCAGTGGTGCAGTCTCAGCTCACTGCAACCTCCACCTTCTGGTTTCAAGTGATTCTCCTGCCTCAGCCTCCCAAGTAGCTGGGATTACAGGCATATGCCACCACGCCAGGCTAATTTTGTATTGTTAATAGAGATGAGCTTTCACTATGTTGGAAAGTATGGTCTCAAACTCCTGACCTCAGGTGATCCACTCATCTCAGCCTCCCAAAATGCTGGGATTCCAGGCATGAGCCACCGTGCCCAGCCTGCTTCATATTTTCTATCTTCTTATTACTCAGAATGAATGGATTCTTCTGGGTGTGGTAATGAATTCTTCTTCCAATAGCTAAAGTCATCTCACTACTCATGTATATAAAATATTATCTGTTGTGGATGGCATATATTTTTATTCCAAGGTATAAAATTCCATTACATAGTAATAGAAAAATTTCAACATGGGTATCTTAAGAATAGTATATGGCATTAAAGATGAGAGGAAAATTAATCTTCCAAGAAGGGTAACAGAAACATATTTCCTTGCAATATTTTAAAACCAGGCAAGGCAGAACATTACAAAATTAGTGCTAGAAGATTATCTGGCATGTTCAGGGATCTGGGACGTGAAACCGAAGATACTTACTTCAGCCTTCACCAAGTTTTACTGCTTAAGAAAAAGATGAAGAACAATATCTCTTAAAATATTTTTCAATATGAAAGTTTGCCTCTTACAGTAGAGCTAGGGTATATAAAACCATTTTCTCATTGCATGGGGGTGCATTTCTGATAATCATCAAAAATATGTGCTTAGACAACACATTTGCTGGATTAGGTATGTCATTTTAGACTACCAGTTAAAAAATGCACTCTGAAAAATCCTGTCAGAGATTTGTCCTTGTTTAAACCCACAATTAATTACCATATCCCAATACTTGGACTTTTCTTAGTCAAATTAAGGCAGGTTCTATAAATCAAGGCAATCAAGCAGTAACGCCAAGGTCTTCCATTGCTTTAGACACTCTAAATGGCCAGATTTTTCTTTGTGTGTGTGTGAATGCAGTCCCCCACTACAACAAATTATGCAGTTAAGTTTCCCACATTTGGGGAAATTGCAGGGGTCAGCACATCCAGAGTGCAATGGATAAGCCTTGGCCTGCGAAAACCACCTTCGTGATCATGGTATCTCCCCTGCCAGGTAAGTATAGGCCAGGTTTTGGCAGTTGCAATTAACTAGAATAAATTTTGTTTATTAAATTATAAATAAATTGAAGTAAATATTAGAATGATTATCTCAAAGAACTTGTTAGGGTACAATTCTCAGAATGTGGTGTTAAAAATGATTATTTGATTATTGTAATGGTGAATGATTATTTTTCACTGGAAGGTGTTACGGTCATCAGCCAAGTTCTAGCAGCAGGAAATTATTGTTTGTGGTTTGCACTGTCCATGGTCTACAATGATGATTGATTCAGCCAAACAGGGTGATTGTACTTTCTACACTTTAGACTCTGTAGCTACTGAGTGCAATGTAAAATACTGGCAAAAAACTCAGTGTATTTGATAGAATTTCAAAAACAGTTAAAGAACTGACCACTGCTAATAAAATTCTGAAACATCAAAAAATTTGAATTAAAATAAATTTTACATTATTTCAAACATCAATACTAAAGAGGGAACAAAGTTTTACTCTATAAAGATTTTAACTTACGAAAGCTGAAATAATCTTTTATGAAGTCTTAGGGTTGTCAGCAGAATTAACTAGGCAACTAAGAAAAGCAACATTGTCTCTAGATCTCCACAAAAGCCTGAAAACCATAAAGTAGCTGCTTATGAATTTGAGAATCTCTGTTCTTAGTTAAAACTTATATACCACTTGCAAAATCTTAAATCCAAAGACCTACTCTCTTCAATACCTGTGATTCTTCCATTTCTCTCAAGTTGTCTCTTCTCTCAACATGCCATTTTTCTTCATGGCCTTGACTTACTCATTTTCTCTTAGTTCAGTAGTCCCGTCCCTTCTTGGTTCCACTTTTCCCCTCTACTGCTTGTGCTTCTACCATCCTTACCCAAGCAGTTAATTCCCTGCCGTAATTGAAAACAGTCACTGCCCATGTCTAATTTTGGTTCAAAAATTGACTGGGTTTTGTGTGGAACATTGCTTCACTGTACAGACTGGTGCTGCATAACAGTTACGGTTTTCATTCTAAGCTGGGCCCTCAGTACTTCTCAGTGTCTCTTCTACTTGCTCTTAGTAATCACCTTTCTTATTCTTTATTGAGACATTGTGGCAGAATAGAAAAGCATGGACATTGTTGACAGACCTTGATTCAAATCCCAGCTTCAGCACTTAATATCTGAGTGATATTTAGCAAATTATTAACTGATTTAATCCTGTTTCCATCTATGTAAAATAGGAATAATTCCTATCTTGTAGGATTTTCTGTTAAGGACTTAAGATAATGTAAGAAAGGTGATTTGGTAAATAGGTCAATGTTAATTGTTATAGTTGTTCTTCTGCAGCTTGGTCTGGTCTCTAAAAGTTCACTAAGTTTCTTAAATTTTCCACCATATCTCCAAATGCCTAATTATCAACAGATAATAGTCTTTTATTTTGATATCAAAAACACAAGTTATCAAGTGAGTACATTCTCAGTTTCTCATCCCCTCCACTTCTATACATACCTATGATGTTACTCATTAGTCCCTTCTCTCCTATTTTAGAATAACACATATTTCATTTTCTTTTCAAAGACCCCAGAGACAGTATAACACAGTGACTGAGAGAAAACAGTCTTTGGTGCCCAGTTGCCTGGGACTTTTTCTTCCCTCTACCACTTGGGCCAGTTGGTCAACCTCCCTGCATCTCAATTTCTCTATATCTAAAGTGGATACAATGAATACATGTACCTCATATGGTTCTGAAACAGACTGAATTAAATGGAACACTGAAAACACAAAGAGCCTGATACACAATATACACTTCTGTTAGCTATTAGCAATTATTACTACTATGAGTTATTATCACTTTCTGTCTCATCAGGGTGTCAGTTCACAAATTCTTCCCTCTGTCCTGAGCCTTTAGTCACTTCTCCACTGGCTCCTTCTTAGCCTACTTAAGCATTTATCAGTGAAAACTTTCCTTCACCTGGCTTTGTTGCACTTTTGTCATATTTCCTTTCGTGGCTAAATGTTATGAAAGAGTAGGCTAATTCCAATACTCTGATTATACTAATTTAACTATTCCTCATTCTTCAATTCAATATAATATGACTTCTATTCCCACTGCTCTACTGAAACTGCCTTCACTCAGGTCCACTATGACCTCCCAATTGTGAAACCCAGTGGCATATTTCCAGGCAGCATCCCATGTAACCCATCTATGATATTTGACACTATTGTCCATGTAGAACTTCTTAAGATCTTCTATTTAGTGTCTATGATAGTGTTTATTGTTCATTTCATCTGGACATTACTCTTAAGTTTTTTTCTGAATCTCCTTTTGTACATACTTTAAATCAAGATGAACACTTGATTATGTAAATTTCTTCCACACCATATTCTGGCAAAATATAGCTTGAAGTGTCTACTGTATATGTTTTCTTCTCTGTAAACTATAATGTCTGCATCTCTGATACTATGAAAACGTCATTTTATATAGTTGGACTTGCCCTAATCTAGGTCATATCCATTTTCGATAAACTTTATTCTTCCAGCTTCTTTTACAGAAAGCATCTAATTATTGGCCTTTAATCTTCTGCTCCCTTAAACCCATGCTCCACTCTATTTCTGGATATTTTTTTCATCCTGTAATCTCAATCTAATAATGTCTCTTTTCTATGTGAAAGCATCAGATTCCATTATATTTATTATAGGGCAAAGCCCATGTGTCTTCCTATATTAATTAGGTTCTATTTAAATTGTTTGAGAAACTCTTACTCATACCCTAAAACTCCGCTTTTATATCGTCTATTAAAATTACCTTAATTTCCCAAGAAAATGAGCTGCTAGGTCATTTGCTCTCAGAATTTTTTTTTTACTCTCAGATTTTTTTTTTTTACTCTTCTCTTATATCCTTTTACAGACTTATGTAATTTATTTATTTACATATCTGTCTCTTCACTAAATCATCCTTTTAGGATCCTGGTAATCTAACATCTCTAAAATATAACATAAGTGTGGATATATTTTTCTGAATAACTATTTTCTATAAAAGTAGATAGTGTTTTGGGATGTAGGGGATTTTAATTCTATTTTGCATTTGTATATTTCCTATTTATTTTTTTCTGTATTAAATGAGATATTTTATGTAACTTAAAAATATTCTGTGACACAAAATATTTTTGCCATTTTCTACAATATTATAAATCAACCTTCAAAACATAAAAGTGAAATAAATAATTCATGTTTACAAAGAACTGTCAGGAAATGGCTAGATTTATAAGATATAGTGAATTTACTATCTTCTCAAAATTTTTTCAGTCTATAAACATGTTGTGTGGATTTAATCTGATTCACTGTGTAGATAACACTGATTTTAGTGATATGATTTACTATTGAGATGTTTTATTTCCATAGTAGCTACTGAAAAAATCTCACCATTTTCAAAGACCTAGTAGTGATATATATATATAAAATTAAATTTTCATTAAATGATAAAATCTTAAGTTTGCATATAAAATATTAAAACTGAATCAAGGCAAATCAAGATCAACAATAGAAATCCTATTGAATTCTCATAAAAGAAACCATAGTTTTAAAAAATATGATTTTAAAAAGGTCATTTTACACAGTTGGTGAAGTCAAGGCAAAACTAATTTATGACTCATGGCAAATTCTGAAGAACTCCAAACTGTGTATGCATACCTTAACTGTGAGCCAAATACATTTAGAACATTTCTGACATTGGCAAGGCAGGAGGGCAGTAGATTCCAGAAATTTAAACACTCCTAAGACATTATTTTTCATCATTAAGTTTCTCTCATTATTTTTCTCCACTCCTATGTTTCCTAAGTGGATACATACTAATACATTAAATATTTCACTTCATTTGGATTAAAAGCTGCATGCCCATTGAAAGGTCTTTATCAATGACTGAAATTTACATTTCCAAGTTTTTATTCCAGTAAGGATATTGGAGTTTTCCACTAATATTTTAAATGTGAAGACTTTAAAAAGTTTATGTTGCTATCAGGAATTATTCTATCAATCACAAAGTATAATAACATGTCATTTGGTTGTATATAATAGTGAAGAATTAGAAAGAGATTTACAATGTTCACCAAATCATTCTACACTACAAACTTCATTTGAAATGGAGACCCACATTAGTCAATATTAGTATGGTTACTGCACCACTGTTAGTGTAACTAAATGGAATGTCACATCCTAAACCACAAATGTGCTATTGCTGAATACAAATGTCCTTTGATATGGAGGTAACAGTTTATAAGCGTGGTAGCATTAGTTATCAGCAAACTGTTTTGCTAGGAGTAAAAATTATTATAACTACAAAGTTTATATACTTTTAGAGAAAAAGTTACAATTGCATTTTTTGAAAAGACATCTCTTTCAAATTAATGATGTCATCCAACATAATCTTTAACCAAAAATCTTAGAATAACCCTCCTTAGATAAGAGCTATGAAATGGAATATTTTGAGGCACAAATAGAAGGGATAAATAAATACATCGGATTATTTTAAAGCTTTCTTCATTATAGAAAGTACACAGTGCTCTTCATGGTATACAATTAATTCATGTGTTAGCACAGTTAATAGAAAGAGCTTTGCAGTTAAACCTCTGTTCAAATTCATGTTGTGTTGTTGAGATGTGGTGCAGAGCAGGTTTTCTTTCTTTTAGGACCATGGTTGGGAATTATAAGACACTCATAAAAAGTAAGAATTATCAATAAAAATGCAAACAACTAATTGTTAGACATTCAACTTACTTTTACATTGCAATTTAAAAAGGAAATTAAAAAGTTAACAACTGAAATACATTTTTTCTCCCAAACTTTTTCTGTACCAATAAGATAAATCTATGATGGCCTGAAAACAATATTTAGTGACACATGGAATGTTCCATTCACAATGTTCAACAAAGGTAAAATGTTTGTTAGAATCACACGTATGCATGTTAAGGTAAGAAAGGGAAATGCCGCAGTTAAGATGCATAACTCTAGAGTAAAGGTTATTGAGACTGTAAAGTATATAAAAAGTTTCAAAATAGGGATTGGGCTTTGGCAAAATGAATTCAAAGTCTAATTTTTTAATAAACTAGCTTTGTGAACCTGAGCTACTTGGAGTGTCTGTGCTCACTTCTCTATTTCTCTATTAAGAGGAGTAGATTAGATCAGGAGGACTTAATCTATTTTTTTGGTAGAAAAAAGTTATTTTTTATTTTTCTGGAGTTTGAGTTGGTGAAAATCATCTTGGATACTGAACAGTAAGAAGACAGAGAAATCCACAGATAATAAAATTCCATGTCTGTCAAAATGGAGCCGCTATTGGATTTTGTCAATTGCATCCTCTTTACCTTGGAAATGAATGTGGGTTAGCAGAGAAATTCTATGTTAGGATAAGAAGCAAAATGGTGGATTAATTTCTACTGTAAGCTCAATGGCTGAGGACCATTAGACACAATGAAGACTAACATTAAAATAAAGCTTATAAGTTTCATGATCACCAAAATAATTGCCATCAGAATTTATTTTAATATTTAAAATGCTTTTATTGAATGTTATAATTATATATTAAAATAAAACATAGCACCTTTATGGAAAGTATATCTAAAATATTTTTTAGAAAATTAGATTATACAATTAAAAACTGATGAACATGTACTATAATTTTCTTAATTGTCTTTTAATATCAAATTTTACTTAGTATTTTATTAGTATAAAATAGCATTTAGTGAAATATAATTTTGAGTAAAATGAATTTATTAAATTAATTAATAGTTAAAAGACTTTACAACATATATTTGGGGAATCTTTAATACTCTTTATTGATAGTCAATATCAATCTCACTGCAAATAAAACATTTCCCTGTTTTATTTTGCTTATACTTTATTATTTTCTTCCAAATTTATAAAAAATTTGAGTGCTAGGTACCATTATATCCATTTTATTTTATTAGTATTATTTATAAAATTACAGATGGGGGGGTTGTTGTCATATGTTGCCCAGGATGGTCTTGAACTTCTGAACTGAAGTGATCCTCTTGTCTCAGCCTCCCAAGTAGCTGGGGCTACAGGCACACCATCCCTGCACCTGGCTTAAATCCATTTTATAGTGAGGAAATTAGGGCTCAGAAAAAGTAATTGTTCAAGATAAATTACTTAGTAAGAGGCAGGGGCAGGATTCACATACATCCAAAATCTGTCCTTTCAATTATCATAGGACTTCACCCCTTACTTATGGAATTATTCTACAAATATTTATTGAGTACCTATAATATTTGGAACAACTTTCTAGGCAGTGGGTCTATAGGAGTGAACAAAATACACCAAAAAACACTGCTCTCCTGGAGTTTGCAAGTGGGGTGAGAAAGAAATGAAACTAACTAAATAACATATACAGTATTTTAGATTTTGATGGGTGCCAAAGAGAAACAAGGAAAAGGGGATAGATGGTGTTGAGAGGAAGGATTGCAATTATATATAGTATATTCAGGGAAGACCACTCTGAGAAGATAATACACGTATTAAACCTGAAGGAGCTGAGGGAAACATGCCATGAGATAGAGGGTAATGTTTCAAGGAGAGGACAAAGCATGTGCGAGGTTGTGAGGTGGGAGAATGCCTGGCAAGTTCAAAGCACATTAAGAAGGACAGCACAACTAAAATAGAGTAAATAAGTGGGATTGTAGAAGATGAGATGAGAAAGGCAAAGGTAGCCAGATTGCATAGGACCTTGTGGCCATTGCACTTAAATTACCTTTTTGTCTGAGTGAGATGAGGGGCCACTGGAGAATTTTGGGAATAGTGTCATGATCTGACCTAATTTTTTTTTTTTTTTTTGAGACGGAGTCTCGCTCTGTCGCCCAGGCCGGACTGCGGACTGCAGTGGCGCAATCTCGGCTCACTGCAAGCTCCACTTCCCGGGTTCACGCCATTCTCCTGCCTCAGCCTCCCGAGTAGCTGGGACTACAGGCGCCCGCCACCGCGCCCGGCTAATTTTTTTTTGTATTTTTAGTAGAGATGGGGTTCCACCCTGTTAGCCAGGATGGTCTCGATCTCCTGACCTCATGATCCACCCGCCTCGGCCTCCCAAAGTGCTGGGATTACAGGCGTGAGCCACCGCGCCCGGCCGATCTGACCTAAATTTTATCAATATTGAGACAGGGTTAAAGCGGAGAGAGAATGGAGGCAGAGAAACCACTGAGGAGGTTATTGGCAATAATTAAGAGGCCTTGGGATACTAAGTATGGAGGAGGTAGTGGGAAGTCATTGGATTTTGGATGTACTTTGAAGGTAGAGCTGATGGGATTCTCTGTAGATTCAATGTGAGTTAAGAGAAAAAATGTTGTAAAGGATGGCAAGATATTTTGTAAACAACTGAAAGGATGGAATTGCCGTTATATGAGATGGATAAGAGGAGATTTGGAGGGAGGTTAAAGATGAGGAGTTTAGCTTTGCATATAAAAAACCAACATGTCTTTTATACATCCAAGTGGAGATATGATGTGTAATTGGGCCTGGGGTTTAGAGGAGAGGTTCAGACTACATTGGGAGACATCAGTGCATAGAAAAGACTGAATGAAAGTAAATAAGTGAGAATATAAAAGAGATAAAAGAATTAAATCATTGGTTATTTCAACATTCAGAAGTTGTTGGGAAGGTAAAGAGGAAACATCAAAGGAAAATAAAGTGTGGTTGAAAAGGGAGATCAACCAGGATTGTGGAAAACTGAAGTCAAAGAATATGTCTACAGGTGGAGGGCGTGATCAACGGTATAAAATGCCTTTGAGGAAGGAGTCAAGTAATATAAGAACTGAAAATTGGCCATTGGGTTTACCAGTATGAAGGTCATTGGCAACCTCAAAAAGAACTGTTTCAGTGATGTTGTAGAAGAAAAACTCCAGTAGAGTGGCTTCAAGAGAGAATTTGAAGAGACAATCTTTTGACGAGTTTTACTTCTAAAGAAAAGAAGGTACATGGAGTGTTTTGAGGTACTAAGAGGAATATTTTTATATGGAAAAAACATCAACATTTGTATGTATTGATGGAAAACCCAAAAGAGGTAGAAGAGTTGATAATGTAGGAGAGAAAAATAAGAATTGTTGAATCAATATTCTTGTGTTGGAGAGAGTAGATGAGATTAGAATGCAAGTGGAGAGGTCAGCCTTTGCTGGGAACAAAGGATAAACAGTTCATGCATTTTAAACACAGGGAAGACAGAGTAGATGGGACAAGATCCAAGGATATGGGAAATGTGGTGGTTTGTGGATGTTTTCTTCTGATGTTCTCAATCATTGGCTAAAAGTGAATGTTTTTATATGATGCTACGTTGAATTACAGTCATGTACCACATAATTGATAGTGACGGGAAAACAGACAAATTCCTAGGCACACAGGGGAGGGTCCCCTTTGAAACCTGGCTTTCAAGCCAAGGACAGCCTAAAGCCTGAAAACCAAATTGCCAGTCCCGGATAATTTGGACTCATGGACCAATTAGCACTCACTCCCCCATTCTATGCCCATAAAAAACCTGAGACTCTGCCTCACAGATGGCCACCCACTTTAGCGTCCCCTCTCCATGCTGACAGCTTACTTTCCGTTGCTCAGTAAAATTCTACTCTGCCTTACTCACTCTCCAGTGTCCGTGTACTTTATTTTTATTCCTCTTGGTTGCAGGACAAGAACCCGGAACTTGCCAAACTGGGAGTGAAAGAACTGTAGCACTCCTGCTTGCTAGCTGTAGGTGGCAGGAGTAAATGAGCGCTAACACTCCCTCCCACTTGCCGAACTATGGGAGAGAAAAAGCCACAACATAAGGTCATTTTGATCAATGATAGACGGGTATAGGATGATGGTCCCATAAAACTGTAATAGAGCTGAAAAATTCCTATTGCCTAGGAATGCTGTAGTGTAAAGCATTCCATTCCTCACGTGTTTGTGGTGATGCTGGTGTAGAGAAAACTACTGTGCTGCCAGTCATGTAGCACAAACAACTATGTGTAGTACATAATACTTGATACTAATAACTATGTTACTGGTTTATGTTTACTATGCTACACATATTATTTTTATTTTAGTTTTTTTTTACAGATATGTATATATATATGAGTAATGCACTGCACTATAACATCCCTAGGCAATAGGAATTTTTCAGCTCTATTATAATCTTATGGGACCACCATCCCATAAGGCCCGTTATTGCCCCTGAAGATTTTCCAATGGGACAAGACGTGGAGGTGGAAGACAATAATGTGGATGCTCCTGACCCTATGTAGACCTAGGCTAATGTGTATGTATGTGTCTTAGTTTTTAACAAAAAAGTTTTAAAAGTTATACATATATATGTGTGTGTGTGTGTGTGTGTGTGTGTGTGTATCAAAAGTATTTTCTTTTGTTATACATAACAGAAAAAAGCTTACAGAATAAGGATATAAAGAAAATACTTTCCCCAGCACTTTGGGAGGCTGTGGCGGGCGGATCACGAGTCAGGAGTTCGAGACCATCCTGGCTAACACGGAGAAACCCCGTCTCCACTAAAAATACAAAAAATTAGCCGGGCATGGTGACAGGCGCCTGTAGTCCCAGCTACTCAGGAGGCTGAGGCAGGAGACTGGCATGAACCCAGGAGGCGGAGGTTGCAGTGAGCCGAGATCGCACCACTGCACTCCTATACAATATGTTTTTTTTAACCTAAGTGTTATTACAAGAGACAAAAAACTAACAAAAATTTTTAAAGTAAAAAAGTTATGGTAAGCTAAAGTTAATTTGTTATTGAAGAAAGAAAATTTAAAAAATAAATCGAGTGTAGCCTAAGTGTACAGTGTGTTTACAAAGTCTATAGTAGTATACAGCAACATCCTAGGTCTTTAAATTCACTCACCACTCATTCACTGACTCACCCAAAGCAACTTCTAGTTCTGTAAGCTCAATTCAGGACAAGCGGCCTGTACAGGTGTACCATATTTTATTTTTTATGCCATACTTTTACTCTACCTTTTCTATGTAGATATGTTTAAAGACACAAATCCTTACTATTGTATTACAATTGCCTACAGTATTCAGTACAGTAACATGCTATACAGGTTTGTAGCCTAGAAGCAATAGGCTGTACCATGTAGCCTAGGTGTGTAGTAGGATCTACCCTCTAGGTTTGTGTAAGTATACTGTATTTTGCACAATGATGAAATCAAATCACCTAATGATGCCTTTCTTAGAACACACCTTCATTGTGAAGTGTCACATAACTGTACATTATATCCAAATTAGGTAGGCAAACCTTAGAAACTTGCTCAATTTAACATTTTAAATTAAGAATTTGAATATGCATAAACTGTGAACACAAGCTTTTGGTAATTGTAGCCAACTCGCATCACATCATGGCTGTTAAATGATTGCATTTTTGTTGTTATAATAAAAATTTATGTTTATTCATGGAAAGAGCTACTGTTCTCCTCTAGATCTTTTTTTCTTCAGAAACAATGAGATGATAATCATTACTATCAACCTTATCTTTGAAAAACAGATAGCAATAAATATTATATTTTTAATGTGAGGTTAAAAGTACCGTAGGATGAATGAGTACTTTCTATTTTGTGATAAAGTGACTTTTTTCAGCGACATGGGTCAGTAGGAGAAAGAATACAATGTATATTAAATGTGCATTAAAATCCTGGATTTCAACCATCTGATAACATTTCTTGTCAAACTATTCTAACAGCTCCTATTGTTTTCAGAAATGTTTAAATAAAATCTTAACAAAAATAAAGAAAATGAGCTTTTTCCCTTCTCTATGCTTCGTGCCAGAAGACAAAGGTCTATATTTTACCTTCCTGTTAGCAGGTA
Source organism: Homo sapiens (assembly GCF_000001405.40). Taxonomy (NCBI): domain Eukaryota; kingdom Metazoa; phylum Chordata; class Mammalia; order Primates; family Hominidae; genus Homo; species Homo sapiens. The sequence goes on along the minus strand of NC_000006.12, from coordinate 122,200,829 downwards.
CCTAAAGAATTTAGAATGTGGGCTCTATCCAAGAGGAACACTCCCAAAAGTTGCTAAAAAAATATAAAAATATTGTACATTCAAGCTGCATTTAGAATGTTCTGCAGCTTAAAAGGATGTTTGGAGTGGGATTTAGTGTAATAGGTTTGGCAACAAAATCAGTGCAGTTCATGCAACTGATGACTTGATGCAGACCCAGCTGACTAACACGTACTATGTGTTTGCTTTGGCAGAGAATTTGGAAAAATAATTTAGAGAAAGGAATTATATTATTCAACAGATTTCACTTTTGTTGTTTTGTGGGATTAAAAAATTCTAATCAGACTCATAAAGGTAGAATTCACAAAGATCTTCCCATTGATTGGAACCATGTTAGAAACTTTCATTAATAAAACAAGATAGAAGAGGATAATTTCACTTATTTCATGTGTCTCTTAATTCCTGTTTTCTCATAAATAGATTTATGACTAGTCAGTTCTCAATTGATACCATATTTATAAATGTATTTTGTCTAAAAGCAATATTATAAAATGCCCTTTTTCAACATTTCTAATATAATCATGGCATATAGAATCTTCTATTTAAACTTTGATGGCCAACAACATGACTGTCATTTGTGGCAATGATTACCTATGCTACTCTAAGACTTTGTTACTTATATGTTAATTCATAGATTTGACTTTTTCTTCAGATATGATATTAAAGCTTTTTGCATTTAAATCAATTATTTGAATATTGTTACAAAGTTTCAAAGGACTTTCTTGGCATATTAAAATATTTGAATTATCGCTGTTTGCAGAAACCCAGACACATTAACGACATGATTGACCCAAGGCTGGAAATAGATCTGATTCCATTTTATGGGATTGAAAGTTATTTTATATGCTATTCTGACCATTATAAATAAGACAGTTAGGTTGAATATACTCCTAAATTGTCTGTAGGAACTAGACACACTATTTTCTACTATAGATTAGCTTGTCTTTCTATGCCATGTTACCAAGCTATGAAATTCGAGAGATAATGAGATATTTTCCTCAATGAAAAATAAAATGTTTTTGAAGCTGGAGGGGGTTTAATACAACATATATAAATGTGTTATGCTATTACACAGGAGAGAGCTGCAGACTGATGAAATAGCCAACTGATATTTTAAAGTAAGTATAACAATTATTTGAAGAGAACTCTATTTTTTTGATGATTTTGGACAAGTTAACTACTGTAAGACTCAGTTACATTTGTATAAAAATGAGGATACTGATACCTACCTAATTTCCAAAGATAAATGATAAGAATAACATTAATTATGTGCTATGTATTTTGCTTGGTACATGGGATCCTTCCTTTCCCTTCACTAGACTGCAATCTTGATTGTAGAATTTTGAGATTTATTTTAAATAATTGATCCATATTATGTCTTTAATTATAAATTTTTAATGGACCGAACTCTCCACCATACTTATTATTACTGGAACATATATTTTATTTTCTAGTCAATGTTAGGGAGAGCTATAACGGAATCTCATCAGTTTTCTTTCCATTTGCTATTTGACTTTTAGAATATTGTTGGGTGTTAACAATCCTTAAGATAGAGGAAAGAAGTAATAGCTAGTGACTGCCTAGACATTAAGGGTGTTGAGTGTGAGATGAAGATGGTGATGCAATCACCCCTACTTAAGACATTGGTCAGGGTTCAATGGAAAGGTTAAGTGCAGTTGTCAGCATATTCTCATAGGTGTTGAAAGAATATTCAGGAGAAGAGAAACCACAACTGCCAGACAACAGGAGAGGTATTAGGTTGACATAAAAGTAATTGCAGTTTTGGCCATTAAAAGTAGTGGCCAAATGACATTACTTTTAATGGCCAAAACCACAATTACATTTGCACCAACCTAATACACTATATCTAATCCGTATAACCTTCTGAGATTGGATTTATTTATTTATCTTTTATTCATAAGAAAAGAGAGCATCAGAGAGTTAAGCCCAAGACCATGTAGCTGGTAAGTGAAGAAGCTGGAATTCACATAAGGATGATCTGCCTTTGAAAGGCATACTTTTTTTTTCTAGAGCTTTCTTATAGTAGTGGAAAAGGACAGCTAACTTTGTTTTAAAGTCATAAATACATATTACATATTCTTAAGAGACACTCATTAAATTTTTAGAATAACACAACTGTAAAGGCATTATTTTTTCCATTTTATATGGAAAGAAACTTGGACACAGAGATATAGTAACTTTCTTACGGCCACACAGCTACTACTTTAGTAAGCAGTGATTCAAACCCAGTTCTGTCCAGTTCCAAACTGGTGCTTTTGCTAATACAACATGCTGCCTAGAGGTACAGGATCAGCAAGAGTGAAAGGTAGGCATTTAGGGATAAAGATTTGGGGAATGTGTTTGAAATGCACACAGAAGAAGGGAGTGTAGAATCAGGACGAGAATCCGAGATTGAGCTTTTGCCATGTGGGAGGCAAAAGGCACGGGCTTGACTTATGTTTAATCTTCTCTCACTTCTCTGGACATCTACTGCCTTGCAGAACTACTTTCTCTTCCCTAAAATTTCCATGCTGTTCCAAATGTCTGTACCTTTGAGCATGTATTTTCCTCTGTCTAGAATATTCATTTGCTCTTCTTTTCCTGGAAAATATCTCTTTAACCTTGAAAATGCAGTTCAAATTTTATTTGTTTTGTAAATCTTTCCTGAATCCAACAAATGTTTAATTGAATGCTCTTTTTACTTTGAGATCCTTAAATTTAATATTGCTTCAGATATTGCTTCAGAAGCATGACTAGGACTCTAGAAGAATAAAACAGGCCTGCTGAGAGCCAATAGTCCTATAGGTTTTCAAGACTTATATCTAGGTACGAATTTGATAATATTGCAAGATTATTCTAAACATACAAACTCTTTAGATCTTAGGACAAGAAAGAATTGAAAACTGTATGCGCGCACACACACACACACACACACACACACACACACACACTTGTTAGCTTGAAAATATTTTTAAAAATCTATCAGGGAATCATTCAAACCATCTTCCCATCCCGTTTTCTTCCTCCTCACACACACAGGCACATACACCCACAGGAGCTATTACCAACTGGAAACCTTGCAAACGGTTCTCAGAGATCCTCACTCCTGTCCCCATACTACATGGTCACTAACCTCAACATACCTACTTAATGTCTTTTACCATGCTTTGTACATAATAAGCACTATAATGAACAATTGAAACTCAGAGGAATTAACACAACTATATGGATTAAGGAGAAATATGATCAAGGTTAGAATAAACTAGCTATGTGTAGGGTGTGGGCCTTTGCTGGAAAACAGTGGTTCTCTCAGGTAGGTTTTGAGTCCAACATCCTGTTTCCAACACATATTTATCAACACCCTCACCGCTATCTTTTTTAAAAACTACTATTGTATTACATGTGTCCTTGTGGCTGTAAAATTTTGATTCAGCAGTAAAGTTAGATTTATTGACTGGGAGAGCAAGGACTGTTGACGTTTTTCTCTGCTTCATGCCAATTCTATACTGTGTCATAGAGTGGAACAGTAGATACTGTTTTTCAAATACTATTATTTTTTCCATTCACTCATCCATTGAGAATCATGAATTTTACAAGTAGATTTATCACCAGTACAAAATACAGTGATAAATTCATTAACAGTTGTTTTATCTTCTTGTCCATTCATTGAACTTTCCGTATGTACAATTGGGGTGATTAAAAAAAGAAGCAAGACTTACTAGGGTCAGCAAAGCAAAACACGAAATGTAGAGTTAGCAGTTAACTGGTAAATCTAGAATATTCTGGCAAAAATAAAAGACTGGTTTGGCTGTGTTCATTGTCTGTACTCTCAGATAATTGCCGGCCCTTTGCTTTACTTTCGGCTTTATTGATCAAGGGAAAAAGTGCAGCAGAGATCTATGGTTTGGTTTAATTCTTGAAAATAGAAACATTTGTCTTTGAAGTATAACTTGGGTCATGGTCTCAAAGTTTCGTGGGCTGCTGCTAATGCCGAGAATTAAAGACTACTGCTTTTGTAATTCTTGGTCAGTCATCAACAGTTGGCTTGAGCACTGAAGTTCTAAAAAATAGGCTCATTAAGTAATAAATATCTCCAAGTTGGATGAACAAAACAGTTTCAAAATGTGTATTTGGTCTGGCATTTCTGCATTATTCATTAAACTCAAAAAATGTAGACTTTTGTCTCTAAGTTCTGCTCACTTACTTGTAGCTACTTTAGGAAGTAGTTTTACTTCTCTTTACTTCCACAGTGAGAACTGCAAGATCATTGTTGGTACAACATAGCCACTGCTTAACAGAAGTAACATGTTTACATTACTTTCCATATTTTTTAACATCAGCGTTTATTAGCCTTTAAGAAGTCCTTAACAGTTTTCTTTCTTAAGGATTTCTTTTTTCTTTTCTGGAAGAATAAGTTGTGGACTCAATTAGGTTAATAATTTCTTACCCATGAGGCCATAATGAATTTATTCTACACTCAATAGCCTTTGGAGAACATTACTTAGTATTTAAAGAGGGAAAAATCAGGATATAGGAAACCTTTTTTGGAAAGCTGCATTTCCCAGATTCCTGCTGCTTAAAAAACCCATTTGGATACTTTTAAATAAACTTTCCTGTATTAAATTGAGGCCCCCTATTTGAATCTACCTACTCTTTTAGGAATGAAAGGAACTGAAAATTCTATTCTGGCTGAATAAAGAAATTTTAATAACCTGTCTAGGAGTTGAATTTAAGCATACTAGCTTGTCACTATATTGCCAAAACAAATGAAAATTCATTGCCTGGTATTGGAACCAACTTAGTAAGGTAACACTTCATTTTTTGAGCATCATTGGGGGAATGAATTATTCCACTTAAGTGAATTTTCCATATAAATGCTTCAGAGTTATCTTTTAACACAGAAATCAGGGCATGCTGGGCTCTTGCTGAAAACCTTTTGTGACTTCCCATTGTCTAAAGAATAATGCATTGCTTCATATCCTTTCAATTCCCCTATCACTTATGAGCTATTTTGATTTGCTCACTATTCTCTGGACCTATCTTGCTTCTTTAATTCTTTGAGTCTCATATTCTATTCTATGTGGCCACACTTTACTTTTTCTGCTTAATGAACTCTTAGTCATCTTCAAAGTTACTCACTCTCAAAGTTACCTTTTCTAATGTGTTATTTGGCTCCATATCATTTAATAACTCTTTTCTTTGTGTTTTCATGGATCTAATTTATGTTTTCAATATATAAATCATACTGTGTTATGATTTTTATTTCTATATTAGTGTCCTTGAAAAAATTGGGAGTTAATAGTCCTCGGGAAACATGCACTCGTTCCCTCAAACTATTTACAAAAATCTTAGTGTCTTTTAGAGACTCACATAGTGATTGTGTGTTAGGCACTATGTAATATTATATTTGTTATATAATATATAACAAAATATATGATATTATATTTGTTTCCTGTGGTTGCTGAAATAAATTGCCCGAAATGAGGTGGCTTAAAACATTGGAAATTCATTCTCTCACAGTTCAGTAGCCAGAAATCTGAAACCAAAATGCCATCAGGGCCACACTCCCTCCGGAAACTCTGGGAGAGCATCTGTTTCATGCCTCTTCTGACTTCCGGTGCTGCCATCAATCTTTGGCATTCCTTGGTTTGTAGCCACACCACTGCAGTCTCTGCCATCATCTTTACATCACTGACTTCTATGTGTGTCTGTCTCAAAACTCTATCCACCTTTCTCTTAGGAGAATATATATAATTGTATTTAGGGCCTACCTTTATGATCCAGCATAAGCTTCCCTTTTCAATATCTTAACTGAATCACTTTTTTTTGGCCACATAAACTAATATTCACAGGTTCCAGGCATCAGTAAATGGGAATATCCTTGGGAGCCATTATTGGTCAATCACAGAGACTTAACACATTTTTGAAACTAAATTACCCATTTAAATATAAAAACTTTCCAAATATTAAGCCAAATTTAAAGAAAATATAACTAAAATATATATCATACATTTGCTTCCTTAATCAGAACACAGCATTTGTATTATAATTGTATAATTTGTGACACCAGTGTTTTCTGATCTTCAACATTAAACTCTACTTTCAGTTGTGGATTAGTTTTAGGCTCCTAGGGAGTTTAGGAAAGCTATTTTTCTCCAAAAGATTATGTACTCGTGTGAAAAATAGAAATGGAAACAGAACTCTACCAATAACATTTTGTGCTAAAGAGTTATTAAAACCTTTCAGTTTTCTACATAAAAGTTAATATTTTGTGAACTTTCTATCTTTATTCCCCTGAGAGCCTAGTAAACGTGATACATCAATTGTATTTTTGACAATATTGATTATGATAAAAATGATGACCCTTGATTGGCAAATTGCATCTAGACTTAGAAGAATAAATAAATGATACTAAGAACAAATGAGCTATAAATAACTGATGAAATATGGCAACAATAGACACTGGGGACTACTAGAGAGGGTAAGGGTTGAAAAGCTACCTCTTGGGTACGATGTATGCTCAGTACATGGGTGATGGGATCATTTGTACCCCAGACCTCAGCATCACACAGTATACCTGAATATCAAACTTGCACATATACCTCCAGAATCAAAAATAAACGGTAAAAACAAAACAAAATTAACTATAGTTTATTTACATATTCATCATTGTTTTAAAAAATTTCCTATTTGGTTGCCACAAAATAAAATCTTTCTTGTCCATGTTCCTAGCATTGCATATCTATGAGCAAATAAAGGTGGACTTCTAGATACACACACACACACACACACACACACACACACACACAGACACACACACACACACACTGATAGGGATATCATAGCAGGATTGTCAGGCAGTTCTAAGGCTCTAGCTGAGGTTGGAGATGATAATTCATGGTACGTCCAAGCTATATGGTCATGAATTCGGGTTGCAAGAGGAGAGCAGCAGGAAGAGAGGCAATTAATTGTGCAGAAGTTGTGAAGACAGCATAAAGTAGTTAGGTAATGAGAGTAAAAAAGGGAAAGTCCAGGAAAAAGGCAATGACAAAGAATTAAAAGAGTTAAAAGATGTACACCAGAATTGAATGGCCTGAAATATTCCAATTCTGAGGTCAGTCGCTTTGGTTTAGGGTCCTCAGAGGTAATTGGCTTGGTTTCAGCAAGGTTGATGAGAAACATCACAAGGGGGTAAAGGACATGGCCTCAGCTGGGAGTGGGTGATGAGGATTTGACACTGTAGTCACTTACTATTGTCAGGGTAAGAAGGTGTTTTTCTTTATAAATTATGTCACCTTCAAATCTGTTTCTTTTAATCTATTTAGAGACTGAAATTGGATTTAAAAATTTGCTGAAGTCAGAGGACTTCTGTTCAGTAAAATTCTTTTAAAAATAGTACTTCCAGGCCAGGCAAGGTGGCTCACGCCTATAATCCCAGCACTTTGGGAGGCTGAGGAGAGCAGATCACAAGGTCAAGAGATCGAGACCATCATGGCCAACATGGTGAAACCCCGTCTCTACTAAAAATACAAAAAAATTAGCTGGGCATGGTGGCAGGCACCTGTAATTCCAGCTAATCAGGAGGCTGAGGCAGCAGAATCACTTGAACCGGGGAGGCAGAGGTTGCAGTGAGCTGAGATCACGCCACTGCACTCCAGCCTGGCAACAGAGCAAGACTCCGTCTCAAAAAAAACAGATCGTGCCACTGCACTCCAGCCTGGCAACAGAGTGAGACTCTGTCTCAAAAAAAAAAAAAAAAAAAAAAGTACTTCCGTCTAGTGCTGTTTTTTTTTTTTCTATGATTCAACAATATTGAGTAGATGGGATGTTTTCACAAAAAGATTTTAAAAGGTAAAAATCTAGTTTCCTTTATATGTGCTGCATAATTTTCCCCTTCTATATTTAGAATAAAGGTTTTTCTTTTATTAAATTGGTGGGTAAATCTGTTTAACTTTTTTTAATGTTAAATGTTAATGGTTGCCTGCTCATGGCGAAGTTCTAGTGTGTGAAAGTAAGAAGTCAAGAATTCATTAATTTTATAGCTCAAATCTAACTACCCATGTTTTATAAACAATCTAACCTTGAGTCTGAGATTTTGCTGCTTATCTGCTACTTTTCTAATCTTTTCATCTAGGAAAAGTCAAGCCCAGGAATCACAGATCTGTGACTCTGTTCTGATGTTCTAACTCAGAGACTCACAGCACATATACCCCCCGGATGTGTTTACATTCTTATAGTTTGGAAGAGCAGTCATCACCTCCAGGTCCCACATTTCTAGCACTTTGAGATTTGGTGGTTTAAAACATTTGGTTTAGACTTAAGCATCTTTCCACACTTGCTGAGAAATTCTCTTTCCCACAGATTGTTAAAAATATTTTTCTTCGACCTGAGCTAATTTCCCCAGATAATCTTATTACATTCTTAGCACCACAAATTCATAACTTCAGTTGTGCTAAATGGAAAGCTGTGGCATATTAATATTTTCCGTAGATCGACTTACTTTTGTCTTCTGGGTTTCTAACATTGACTTTCTCACTTTAGATATGTTATGAATAAATACTAAATGCAATATTGAGATTTAAAAATACTTTTTAACCTACCAAAATTTTTCAAGAAACAGTCTTGAAAACAAAGATCACATTTATTTTAGGAATTATGGAACTCTTATTATATAGTAATTAAAGTGAACTTAAATAAGTCATTAAAACTTATCTTTTCTTTGATCTTATACATTTAAGAGATACAGAAGAAACTGTGACAATAGACCTTGAAATAGCTTATAAAAATAATTTTCCATATATAACAAGTTTTAAAATGAAAATTTTACATTGATGATTGTTAAAGCTGGTAGTATAAAAAGCTTTTTCATTTGACTAAAAATTTGGAAACCAACTATAACTTTTTGATTTTTTAAATACTATATTAGTGAATTTAATTAAAATGCCACTTTTTCTAAGGCAGCAAATCATGGCTGAGAAAATGGAACAGATTTCTTCTTATTTTTTATATTCTTTCATATGTGTTTTCTATGCAAGCAGTATTATTAAACATAAGAAAGTTAAAGTTATTTGAATCAAAAATTATCTCTCCTCATTCCCTTTATCAATTCTATGAGATTAAAATAAAAATTATTCTTTATTCCACACAAAGTTTGATGATAAGCGGTTATTGGTCTTGGTCCCTCAGCCCTCTCAAAACTTTAAATTAAAGCAAGAGCATACCGTGACTCATAAGTAGAGAAAAACCATGTCCCTTAGCTTATTCTCAGTTATTTTCAGAAATTTATTGGAGATACATATGTATACCTTCCTTTTAATAAGTGATATTGTCAGCCTTAAGTGTAACTTTTATTATGGAAATGACTGCAGTATGTTACAGCAGATGATATTACCTTTTACAATAAATGATTGCAGGACTTGCATATAACAGACTCTAAGATGGCTCACCAGAGTAAAAATTATGCAAAAAGATGATAATCTTCCCAATGATACAGTGCCTTTAAACAGCATTCCTAAGACCCTGCAAACATTTAGGTACCCAGTAATTAGGGAGTTAACAAGAAAAAAGTAGTACTTTGGATTTAATCCGGTTTAGGTCTCATTTAACTGAGTTCTTTAATAATGTTTTGTTTTAAATAGCTAGGAGGGAACATTTTCTCTGCAAATTTTAATTCTTTGGCTCTCCTTTCAGGTAGGCTTTGCTATTGAGCTGGCTTGACATTTCACTTCTAATTTCTGGGCAAAGATTGCAGCTCTTTAGCATGTAAAGAAAGGCACAAGTTTTTTGTTTTTTTTTTTTCTGTTGATGTTTCATTTGGTTATTTCCTATCTCTTTGAAAAAAATGACCTCCTAACTTTGTTTTTTATCTCTTTTTCCTGTCAATTTCTGCTTCCCCCAATTTTTATTCCCTGGAACTGATGATGTCTTTCATCAGCACATTCCTCCAAGCTTTAAAGTTAATTCTAATCTGAACAAGGAGCATATTAACAGCTTCTAAATCAAAGCCTGGAATTATTCTTGCTATTATAATCTGAGTATCTGGTGCTGCAAGCTACTCTGCACAACCTTTGCCCCAAAGGAAGACATTATCTTTATTATCCTGGTCAGAAAACAAATCAGCCCCTGCCCAGGAATAAGACCCTAACTTCCTGAGTACTCAATAAATTGAATGGAGCTTGGCCTTACACATTGTTTTAATTCATACAACTGGTTTTCTGCTTAGATTTTCCTGTCTAGGATGGATTTCTGCCCCAAGCATACTCTATTTGAATGAAGCCCTTGTATCTCACCAAGTTTTGCTTATGTCCTTCGCCAAGGTACTAGTCTCATCTCTACTTGGTGTCCCTTTGTGTATTGGCTAATTAGATAGACCCCAACCTCAATGACCTGAATTTGAATGAGATTTAGATATCAATGTATGCAAACACACCCCAAGAACAACTCAGTCACATCTGCTTGGGGCTTTGTCAGACTGTCCAGTAGATGTCACAGAGATCTGCTTTATTGAGATGTTTCGTTAGATAATGTTGTTGTGGGACAATTCTCCATGACATTTCTATATGACTAAGAAGGGTTTGGTTCCAGGCCAGCTTTTCAAGAACATTTGGATATCAAACTGTCGTAACCTGCTTGAAAAATAGAGATAAGGTATACCTGTGGTAGAGGCCAGATTTGTTTACTGACCAGGATAATAATTGAAAAAAAGTATTTCCCTTTGGGGAAAAGGAGAACCATGTTAGCTGGCATCACTCCTTATAAAATTGGGGGTTTCCTAAACTGAGTGTTCATAAGCTGTGACAAACCCACTATCTGCGCAGCATTCACCTGGGCCTCTCTACATTGCCTCATGGAACTTGGCAGGAAAAGGGGGAACTAACTCAAACATGAAACTCATGTTGCTTGCTGTGCTATGTGTAAAAAACCTCTTTGTTTCTGAACCAGGAATCTTATGTCTTTTGCTAGTATGTATGAAATTGTGGTGGGCTACAATTCCAGCCTCTTCAGAGTTCTTCAAACTATCTCACCACATTTTTGTGAAGTGGAAAGAATGCAGACATTACAGTAACTTGAACCAGAATTCCAACTCAGTGCTTTGTGATCTCAGAAATTAATAACCCCATCCCAGTTTTCTCATTCATAATACAGCTTAACATTGTTGTTGAGGATTAGAAAATCTGTGTATGTAAACTAGCTTTATATATTTCCTGAATCATAGTGATCAGGGCTGAAGCCACAACATCTGGTCCTCAAAACCATGCTCCTTTTTGTTTGTACTACATATATCTGATAAGGAATACAAACCATTCTATTGTAAAAATACATGCATGCACATGCTTATTGCAGCACTATTCACAATAGCAAAGACATGGAATCAACCTAAATACTCATCAGTGATAGACTGGATTAAAAATGTTGTATGTATATACCATGGAATACTATGCAGCCATAAAAATGAGATCATATCCTTTGCAGGGACATGGATGGAGCTGGGGGCCATTATCCTCAGCAAACTAACACAGGAACAGAAAATCAAATACTGCATGTTTTCACTTATAAAGTGGGAGCTAAATAATGAAAACACATGGACACATAGAGGAACAACACACACTGGGGTCTTTCAGAAGGTGGAGGGTGGGAGGAGAGACAGGATCAGGAAAAATAACTAATGGGTACTAAGCTTAATACCTGGCTGATGAAATAATCTGTACATCGAACCCCCATGACACAAGTTTACCTATGTTACAAACCTATACTTGTGCCCCTGAACTTAAAAGTTAAAAAAAAGGAAATATCATTCAATATATACACTAACCTTCTTTTTTCTTATTACATTAATTTCAGGTGCAGTAACTATTATAAAGACACTTCAATGTTTCTAGTTAATTTTTCACTAGATGGCTTTGGAGAATGGAGGTATTTATATTAATATAGGAGTATTAGTTGAATTGACAATCTTGCCTCCTGGACAATATGGCATTTTACATAAATTACGCATTTCTCCTCAAAATTTAAGAAATTCTACTTCTTTAAAAACTTCATCTCTGGCCGGGCACGGGGGCTCATGCCTGTAATCCTAGCACTTTGGGAGGCTGAAGCGGGCGGATCACGAGGTCAGGAGATGGAGACCTTTCTGGCTAACACGGTGAAACCCCGTCTCTACTGAAATACAAAAAATTAGCCAGGCATGGTGGCGGGCGCCTGTAGTCCCAGCTACTCAGGAGGCTGAGGCAGGAGAACGGCGAGAACCCGGGAGGCCGAGCTTGCAGTGAGCAGAGATCGTGCCACTGCACTCCAGCCTGGGCAATCAAGACTCTGTCTCAAAATAAATAAATAAATAAAAATTAAAAAAAACTTCATCTCTTTTTTATTTTTGCATTATAATAGATATACAAATAGATTCTGCATTTAACTTTCACTGGCTAAAGTTCTTGAAGTAGGTACAGTATGATTCCAGCCAAAACATTACCACTGTGCAATTATTCAATTAGTCCTAAAACCTCCCTCAAATCTACAAAGAAAGGCAACTAGATACGTCATGTAGCTAATTAACCCTCTTAAAACATGGGTAGTAATGTTTTCAGATAAAAATATCTTGTGCTTTCAGTACACCATTTGACTTATACGGTTGCATATTGTTAGTATGATGATATTTTTAAAGACATGAAACAAGTTTATTGAGCACCATGTCTACTATTGAGATCAAATGGTAAAATACTTATATCATCTATTTAATTTGACTTGGATCCTCTTTAAAGTCCTGTTCAGTTATTACCCTCCCTGCCTGTGAGTCTTCTTTCTTAATAAAAGTCATGTAGGCAACACTTGTCTTCTCTTAAATTATTAAACCTTTTTCTTTATTCAAGGAATTTTTGAAATCTCATTTCCCCATATGATTATGATTTGGGAAAGTAACTGTGTTTTCTTGGACTTGACCCTGAGTAAATATATAATTTAGATAACTTCTTTTACCACTCTACCATACACATTTGTATGTAAAAAACGATATATTTATCTATCAATTCATTTACTGACTGTGGTTCAATAGTTTATATCATACTTAATTCCATTATATTATCATTCTCTTTTACTTAATTTTACCTAAATGGCTAAAATAATGTTCATTTAATTTTATCTTTTCAGCTATTTATTTGCAAACCGCTTTGCTCCAAAAATAATTAATGTTATTTGTAAAGATACACATGCTACAATTAAATATGAAATAACTAATGAATGAAGAAATTGAGGCAAAGAGAAAAGAGCCACATATTTGCCCATATGATTTCAAGAAAACAAAGAAAAAGAAGTCATATTCAATTTAATGATTCATACTGTCTATGAGATAAGAAGTCATATTCAATTTAATGATTCATACTGTCTATGAGATAATAAAAAAGAATTTTCTCCCCATGTCAAATATAATTTTTTTCTTACTAAACATGAACTATGCAATGTAATTGATATTCTCAGCCAAATCCTTATGTCAGCTCTAGCAATATTTCATGGAGTTGTTTCTTACAAAATTCTTCGGTGTAGGCCAACAGCACTATCTCAAGTATAGTTGAATGAATGTATGTTCATTTACCTAATAGTTATAGTCAGATTTGGAAACAATGTAAATATCTACCAATGGAATATTTATTGAAGAAATTATATTTTATATGCTAGCTTTTATATAAGTATTAAAAGTTTATCTTCGAAGAATCTTTAACAAGATGGATAAATATCAGGAAATTAATGTTAAGTGAAAGAGTGAGGATAGAAATTCTGTCTCCCATCTCTCAATTGCACTAATATGTCCATAAAATAAATGCAAGAAGAAAAGATTAACAGTGATTACCTCTAGAAAGAGGAATTTAGAATGATTTTATTTTCTTCTTATATTTAAGAAAATTTCGGACTCACATCTAACTGTGAGAGAAATCCAGCTACTGGCACAACATTTAAGACTTCATGACCTATTTCTAATGCTCCTTTGTGGCTTTCCCTTCTCCTCATAAAGCCCATTCCCTGGCCAAACTGAACTTCTTGTTGTTAGCTCAGTAAATATTCATGCCTCTTTACCTTTGTGCTCATGCTGCTAGTTCTGCCTCTACCAATAACTCTGCCCCTCCACCTATAGTTGCTAAATTCTATCTGGTGATGTGTTCTTAACACTTTAACTTAGTGAAACTTTCTTTACCTCCCTTGAACACCCTTCCTACAAATTCCTAAGTCACCTTGGCTTAGGAAATGTCTGCTTTTTATGGTAGTGATGACTGCTTAGGTGATAACTGCTGTTTACGGCAGTCAACACCTTACAAAGAAATATTATTCATATAAATGAGCTTTTTATTCTCTTTCAATGAATAGTTCCTTTAGATACACTTTTTCATACTCCCTTTTGTCCTTCATGGTATCTAGCAGGTGTCTCACTTATCTAATCCTATATAACAAACCATCCAAAACATCATGACTTCACACAACAACCATTTTATTGTGAATTAGCCAGGCAGTTCTTCTGTTTCTATGTGATGCTGGCTGGGGTTACAATCATTTGAGGATTCAACTGAGTTAGCAATGAGTTGGGTCACTCAAACCTGGCTACTGGCCCTGGGTGTTGGGTGAAAGCTTAGCTAGGCTGGTCTACCAGAGAAATCTTGGGCTTCTCACAGCATGGCAGCTGGATTGCAAGAGGGAGCATGTTAAAAACAAGTGTTCTCACAGTCAAGAAGTAAAAACTGTCAGTCTTCTTAAGGGCTAGGCCTGGAACTGTCACAGCGTCATTACTGCCACATTCTATTGGTCAAGACAGTCAGAAATCCAGCCCGGATTCAAAGGAAAGATAAAAAACTTCCATTTCTCAATGAAGTGAGTGACAAAGAATTTGCAATCACATTGAATAAATGAACCCTCCTGTGGTTTCATTTATTCAGTGAACCACAGGAGGGTTCATGTATTCACCCAATATTAAGGAACCCCCCCCCCTTTTTTTTGAGACTGAATCTCGTTCTGCTGCCCAGGCTGGAGTGCAGTGGCGCGATCTCCGCTCACTGCAAGCTCCGACTCCCGGGTACACGCCATCCTCCTGCCTCAGCCTCCGGAGTAGCTGGGACTACAGAAGCCCGCCACCACGCCCGGCTAATTTTGTGTGTGTGTGTGTATTTTTAGTAGAGACGGGGTTTCACTGTGTTAGCCAGGATGGTCTGGATCTTTTGACCTCGTGATCCGCCCTCCTCGGCCTCCCAAAGTGCTGGGATTGCAGGAGTGAGCCACCGCGCCCGGCCGGAACACTTATTATGAGCATTGTTTTAGGCACTAGGGTTACAGCAATGAGAAAAAAAAAAATCAAGCAGGGAGAACTCCCTGCCGATTGTGAAGCTTATATTTTACCAGGAAAAGAAAGAAAATGAAAAAAAAAATATATATAAGTGTATTAAAAAGTGATAGGTGCTATGAGTAAGGTTACCATGCCACAGTGTTTCCATTGCCTATTGTTCCAGTGTAAATACTAATACATTCGCTTTCACTCTTAAAAGTGGCTTAGACTGGATGAAAATGTATTTGGTCATCCTAGCTATAGAGAGAGATGAAGCAGAGAAGTAGCATAGGGTGGTGGGAACTATATTTTTAAATAGGATGATCAGTAAAAGCATCGCTAAGAAACAGACATATGAGTAAAGAGCTAAAAGAGGCAGGGAAGCATGCTGCCTGGATATATTTATGTACTTCAGACCAGTGAAAATGTGAAATTTACACATTAAAATGACAAAAAACATTTTGTTGGTGTATGTTAACTTTGTAGATCCAATTCACTGCTTCCTCTAAACTAGTATGTTCTGCAACTAATTTGAGCAATCCAGGATACCAAACCCTGTATTTCTTACTTCTTTCCAGAAGTAGAACTTGCATGTTACAAAAAATTCACTTTTGTAATGAAGTAGTTTTTGTTATAAAGGAAATTTAATCTGAGCATATGCTTACTTAAAAAAAACCCAATTAATTAGAAGAGCTACTTTAAAAAGCAGCAGGTAGATTTTGGAGCACACCACTTGTTATTTCAGAGAAATATACATGTTATTCACCAGAGGGTGCTATGGTCATCTGAAATGGAGTGTACAGCATCACAGTCCAATTTTCACGTACTCTCGAAAGCTTAAACTTTTGCTTTGGGAAACATAATTTTAAAAGTGTACTCCCTTCCTTTGTTTTTCTCTTGTCTTTTTCCCTTCTCATAATCTTCCAGTAACTGTACTCAATGTATCACTTTAATGATGCTTTATGTCAACTAATATTAAAATCAGTTGAGATCACCTAAGCCATAGCTACTGATAGTGACCAGGGATCATGAATACGTAAATAATTCACAAAATGGTCCAGGCATACGTAAGCAAGTTTGACATGCTGAAATATGTTTCCTGCCTTAAAGTTGCTTCATGTTTTTTTATCATGGAAAACGATAACATCTGGTCATCATACAGCAAGCATCCTCTGAATGAATAAATAGATGAATAATAAAGAGAGGATATTTTCTGCCTATGGGTTCAAAGTTTATAATCAGGACAAATAAAAAGATCCTGGTACCATCCATTATGATAAAGTTTGAACTAATAAGTTACTTTTCCCCACAAGCCGGAATGACCTGGTTTTACTACCTGTAAACGTAAATAATAATAGCACCTATCTCAAGGGATTTTTGTGTCCATTATATGAATAACCCACGTGAAACTTTTAACATGGCACATAATTAGGCACATAACAGTAATTAATAAGTTATTTTGTGAATTTCAAGTTAGGCTATTTAGATTCAAATTACATCTATACTACTTCCTACCTGATGAACATTGGCTAAGTTATTTAATCATTCTGTGCCTGTTTTCTCATATTTAAAATGATGATAATCATAGCATCTACCTCCTGGGTTTATTTAGAGATTTAAATGGAATAATATACATAGAGTGTTTATCACAGGACCTTAAGCACGCCATGATTCTTAGTTACCAAATAGTTGTGTCATTTGATCAATGATAGCATCTTCCATCCTCTAAGATTCTCCTATTTTTTAAAAAAAACACCCAGCCATGTTCTATTTGATTTCTCTCATGCTGACTATTCTGTCCTGGGGTCTACTTTGCCCTTTCTTTGCATGTTCACTATTGGGCTCCCTTTCCAACCAAATGATACAATATCTGCCACTTGATCTATAGGCACGGATGTCACCTAAGTATCCTTCAACAACTTATGAATGGTCTTTTCATGTGGGTACTCAAATGTCATTATTTTAATGCTTTCCTTTTACTTTTCCTAATTGTCAAAGTTATCATTTCCATTAGAGAATGATTTGGAGAGCTCACAGATGGGCAACTGAACAGGAAAAAAGATGACCATTTATTAAGAGCATGGACTTTACTCTGCCACTCGCCCACTAAGGGGGCTTGAGTCACACACTTTTGAAGCCTGGGGCACCTCTCTAAGCCTCATTGTTACTTTAAGTTCTAACTTACTGCCTAGCACATTTTTATTTGAAGTTCTTCTTTACATCTTTCCAAGCATTGACATGCAAGTGAAATCAGTGGAGTTTCCCCAAAGTAACCTTTTCTCACAAAAACCCTCTGCATGTAACAGCCTCCGAGTGAAGGTCTTAGAGGGCTAAACAGGGTTTACTTTGGCAAATGCAATCCAAAATTCAATTTTAGGAATTCTTATTCTTTAAAGTTCCTGGGTGATTTCCTCATGTTATTTGGCTATTTTTCCTACCCACTCTCCTCCCCTCTCTTCTTGACCCCGTTTCTTCCAGAAGAGAAAGAAAACAAATCTCTTCACTTCTCTGACAGAATAACTCAGTTTTCTTCAAACATTGATGTCTCTATTTCACATTACTTTTGTTATGTAACTTTTTATGGATATTTTTCCATGTAAATAAAAATGTTGTGAACTATAATGGCTGCATATTATTTAATTTTATTAGAGTAAATAATTTTCTTAATCAAAAACTGTTTGGATTTATAAAAAGTGTTTCTAGTTTTTGACTTATAAATTTGATCTGAAATTCACATTTCTTCGTGAATATATTTTTGCTCACATATCAGATTATTTTGAGAGTACTTATTCTAGTCTGGTGCTTGCTCAATAGCTTGATCAAAACAATTACATTTTATGGAAGAAACTGTCTTATTTATTCACATAAGATATAGTTATCATAAATTTGGATAAATTTTACAGCATTTAATTCAGTTTCTTCCTCTCCTTTCATTTCAAAATCAAAAATACCTGTGTTGGTATTTCCTGAAAAGTGGGCTTAAGTTATGTCGCTTCTATAGAAGTCTGCACTACCTGAGGTGGTAATAAACCAGAAGGTACTATTAGCATACATGAAGCACTGTATTTGCATTATTTTTCTTTCCTCCTTGAATATATTATCCTTCTTTCTTTGGGGTAAAACATGTTTCAACTCACAACCAGTTTAGCCCTCTCTCAAATATTTCTTATCCTCCAACGTTGTCTCCAGGCAGAAAAGCCTTTTGCAATATTGCCAAGAGCGGCAGCCACAGTGAACTTACTGGATAAGACATTTCTCTTCCTTTTCCACAGAGAGCACTAAGAAAGAGCTTCTAGGCTCAGCAGGTGTAATGGTTAATCACTGAGTGACTGGAGCAGGCTATGAATGGAGGATAATTTGATGAACACGTTAAATACCTGCTAACATCGTATTTTTGTTAATGTCCAAGGGCACTGAAGATTGTAGCAGAATTCTACTTGAAGTGACTTACTTGAAATGTTACTTATGCTAGTGTGCAAGAGTTAGGAGAACCGAACAATTTTGCACTTTCTTTGAGGAATGCGTTTCCCTGGTTGGCAACAGACTGTGACTTAGAAAAATAATTTTTTCCAACTGTCACAGTTTAGAGTGAAAATGGCACTGAAATGGCAAAAGGTAAATTATACCAACTATAGGTGCAATGCAAGTGAGGGTATTTCTATCTGCTGGAAAATCACTCAGTACACTTTTATTACCCTTTCTTTCCACTTTGTACAGTGTATTAAAATAAATAAATGAGAAAGCAGTGGAAAATAATTGTAATTTCTAATTTAAATGTAGTGCCATGAGAGGGCTGATCTGAATAAATGCTTTTGCATCTTTATTTAGAAATACAGAAAGGAAGAGTTAACCTACCCTGTACTCCATTTTATCCAGATGGTGCATAGTATGTTAAAAAGAACTAGGGATCCAGACTCCCAAAGACCTCAACCATTAAATTAAACATGTAATCTAAAATGGATGTCTGAGAAGAACAATAGATAATTTTTCAGACCTCTCACAATGCATGTGAATTGGATGGTGTTCAATTTAATAGGCAGTAATGCTGACTTCTCAACAGCTTCCCTAAGGGTCTCTTCTGTGTTTATCCTTTGCCATCTAGCAGATTCAGTGCTGTTGCTAGACAAAGAATTCTGATTGATTCAGTGTATACTGATCACTCCTTATTATATGCGCAGTGGAGACCCTGGGAAGAAAATTCATTACATTTAGATACTGATAATTGTTGAGAGCTGGAGCCTGAGTTTTATGACTACTTTGTAGGCCTTAGCTTTAATGACTAACATGAGAAAGTACTCCTTAGGACCCTGCTGCTAGATGGCACAGGCATCAAAAAGAGATTCCCAAATAAAATGAACCAAAACCACTTTCCACTGTGTTCTAGGATTCGTTCAAACAGTTTGGGAATGAGCAGACTTTTCTCTTGAATCAAACCCAATATTCGTTTTTAGATTTGGAAAAAGTCTTCAAATTTCTCTTCCAGTACCTATGGGGCATGTTAGAAACATTAGTAACATTTACTAAGGGGATCCTTTCCCATTCGCTAAAGCGAGCGCTAGTGTTGACAGCCAATATTCAGCTAACCACAGGGGCTTGCTGGTGATGGTCAGAGGCTGTCTGCCCACCTGGCAATGGCTGGCATTGTTATCTGCTAAATCAGGATTATATTTCTGACACTTGGCTAAAAGATTCTTTAAGAGCTGCACTGTTTAGAATAATAATAAAAACAATGAAGATTCTCGAACAATGAGTACCTACTCTGTGCCAGGTAATGTGATAAGTTCTTTACATATATAATCTGAATCTTCAAGACATCCCATAAGATAACTAATAATATTATTCCTATTATTTTATAAATCAAGAAAGAGAGTTTTAGAGAGGTTTAAAAATGTAAGTTACTTATTAAGAAGCAGAGTAAGGATTCCATGTTAAGGCTCTGATCCAAAGCATATGCTTTTAGCATCTGGTTATATTACTTCTTAAACCTGCAATGTATAAGGTGAACTATTATATCTGAAAGGTTGAAATTTCAAAAAATTCATATTAGCTATAGATTTCAATGTTTGCCTCCAGGTGAATTTTCAAAACTTCTCAAATACTTGCCTGAGTGTCAGCCTCTCTTGGTTTCACATGTTTCAATGTCCCCAGTCTGAGCAGTGGGAGGCAGCAGAAGGCCAGTGTTATCTTCAAACTGGATAATCAAATCCTGTTTCGTGGATCTCTGGTTGTTGTAGACTTAAGATATTAACAACATTGATAAATTTTGTTTTATAATAGAGTGCAATCATATGTTTAATAAATTATAACTGACCAGGACATCTTTCCTAGGGTTCATATCATTATGTAAAAATAGCCATTTTTTTAAATTATAAAATAATGTCTGTTACTTGGACACAGGAATTTTTTCCTTATTGCAATTAGTGCTTTTGTGGTCACAGAAAGAACATTGACATAGTGTCTGTTGAGGACAGAGAGGCAAGAAGAATTTTGTTTTTGGCACTGATTCTAATGTAACTAAGAAGTCATTCTAAATATCCAGCCTATAAATGTGTAAATATAAGCTGAAAACTCTATAATATAATGTGAAAATACATCTAACTTTTTTGCACTTGTCTTTGATGTAGCCAGTTGATAAAGTACAATGCATAAGAGCCTTAGTCCCAAGAGACTCCAAAGGACGTTCTTGAATTTCACTTTTAGACAGTTAGCAAAAATTTAGGAAAGGATTATCAAAAAGAAATAATGGACTCTTGTTGTACTGCATTATTTCTTGTTATTAGAGCCATCTTAAACTTTAGCGACTCCCCTCCTCACCTCTTTGAGTCCAGACATTGTATTATTGAGGCTACCTAACAAGTTTTTGGAAATGTAAACTTAGGAGAAAGTTAGTTCCTAAAATGTATGCAAGAAAAAACTCTTTATTACTCTCCTTTTAAAAAACGTACGTTTCTGTTTTCACTATTCAGGGGTTGCCATGTATACCCTTAAGATACCATGCCAAATGTTGTCCTTCGTATATCAATTAAAATTCACAAGTAAATATTGGAGCATTGACTTTGTACCAGACATTTATTTAGGTACAATGTCTTTGTTGGCTCCTGTCTCCAAACCCTCTATCGCTGGAATTAATAATCCTTTGCTATAGTTTTGGCCTCACCTCAGATTTACGTCTTGAAATAGGGAGAAATCAAGAGTTTGGTTTTCTTTGTTTTCTCTTAACTTAGTACTTCAGTTCTTGGTGTGTGTTTACCTGTCCTGTTCTTAATTTCCAAGTGTTGACCTTCCTTCCCAGGAGTCCTCCATTTTCTATGAGAGTTGCCCAGTGCTGAGTCCTCTTGCTACCAGCAGCCTCACATCTTGTATAGATTTATGTGGGTCCTGGTGAAAGGATCTCATGTTCCTCCTGTTCTTCCTTCCCTGAGCTTTCCTCCTGGATACTGGAAGTACTTTCTGGGCTTTCACTGCATAAAAACTTCCATATTTTGTATCAAGTCTTTAGCTGGCAGCACAGAATACCTGGACTCTCTAGTTCAATTGGCCAAAGCCTATATTTTAAGTCTCTAAGCTCTTGGTATTTTATTACGCATTTATAAAGCCTTCTACTGTTTTTTAAAAAACTAGACTAAACAGTATAATTTGTCCTTCAGTTAGATTGTAAATGTTTCTTGGTAGGCTTCATTTCTTTAGTTAATGTTTGCCACTTTTGATGTCAAATAGAACTCTGTCTTTAAGCTATATATTTATATGTAATTATGATAAAATCCCTTGATTTTGGTTATACTTATTTTGTAGCATTTTTCCTTAACATGAAGTAAAATAACGACTGTGTGTTCCTAATTAGGACTTTAGGAAAATTCTGTGGAAGAACCTAAGAATTATTTTGAATCTGTCTCGTATGTTTTCAACAACCCTTTTTCTTAATCATACTGCTGCTTATGAGTTATTTTCCTATTGCTCTGAATTTTCTGGAAAAACAAAATCACTTAGTGAAAGTGTACCTGTTTGATGAAAAGTTTATTCAAAGGATCCAGTGATCAATTGTGGGTGGCACTGATTACTTATACCTAAGTGATAAAGAGAAAATGACCTCTGCTTTTACTGGGGATGCTGGTGGCAATGCAACTCCTTGAGAATAACAGACTATTTTATAGCTATGGAGATCTAAAAATCAATTAAAAAAATTTAAATCACACATCAAGTATATTCTGTACTTTGAAAAATCTAGCATTACGTTAGGTAGAGAGCTAACTGTTAGAATAAAGGCTAATAAACATATTCTATACTCTGATCTCTGATCCACGTACATTACACTAAAGTCAGTCCTTATCCTTTATTTAAATGCACTGAAAATTATGTACTTATGAACACTCAGATAAAAATGAATGCCCAATTAGCATATAACAGTAGGGCAGGGGTTTGTATGCTGCACGAAAATGATGAAGCATGGATGATGAAGCATGCATGCTGAGCTCCATGGATTCCTTCAGTCCCTCAGGCAGGAGGACCCAGTTTGGTGATACCATGTGCTGAACAACTGTTACTATATGCCTGAGTGTGCAGCTCTCCACTTTGTGCATCATCTTATCATCACTCAAAACAAGTCATATGGTCAAGCCTGATGTGAATGATGTGGGAACAATATATACTCATTCAGACAAGTACTGCAAGTCACATGGCCTCCCTCTTTTTCATGGACAGAAATCAATTCTTGAAAACTAATATTTTATGACTAGATATTTCATAGACTTCAGTTCCATTATCTTTTAAAAGTTAGTCTATAATATGAAAAAAAATCTATATTTAGAATTTTCTTTGCCTTCCCTTTCTCTTCCAATACAATTCGGTTTTAACTCCAAGTAATTCATAATAATTCAGTATTTTCTAGGACAAGTTCCCCTAACTTATTCTTCAGAAGTGTTTTGGCTAAAATTTAAGTTGTTCTTGTCCATATAAATTTTATAATCAGCTTGTGTATTTCTACAAAAAACTTTGTTGGAAATTCTATTGAATCCACAGATTTTGTGAATTTTGACTTTTTTTTCAGTTTGAGTATTCCTCTTCACTAACAAAGTATTAATAAACACAAATGGGGAATCTTTTGTTTAAGTCTTCATTGTTTTATGATTTTCTGTATAGAGGTATTGTACACTTTTTTGAGAAGCATTTCTAAGTACTTTATATTTTGTCTGTGTATATATATATATGTGTACATGTATTTGTTGTATAAGAAAATATATGTAGTATATAGTTTACATTATATATGAACATATATATTTTGTGTTACATATAAAAATATAAAATCTGTTCTCCATTTATATAACTAATATTTTTATATTGATTTTATTTCTGTCCAGTTTGCTAAGTGGTTGTAATATTTCAAACAATTTGCAGGTAGATTACATTGTTTTTTTTTTAGAGATAACAGAATCAAATCATGTATGAATAATGACAGTTTATTAATCTTAAATCTTTATATATCTTCTATTTTATCTTTACTTAATAAGCTTACTAGGACCTCAATTCTAATGTTTAATGTTGTGTTATTGATTTCACTGAAAGTTATGCTGCTAATTACTATTAGAATATTTCCTTTTGGTTGTTAAAAAATTATATTGAGTTATAATTTACAAACCATAGAAGTCACATATTATTAGTATATAATTCAGTGATTTTTAGATTTATATTGTTGTGCAGCATTTCCACAATCTAGTTTTAGAAGATTTTCATTAACTCCAAATGTTTCCTACTCACATTTGCAGCTAATCTTCACTCCCACCTTCAGTATGAGGCAATCATTGGTCTGCTTGTTTTAATAAATTTGCCTTTTTAAAAAAAATCACATAAATGGCTGGGTGCCATGACTCACACCTGTAATCCCAGCACTTTGGGAGGCCGAGGTGGGCAGATCACCTGAGGTCAGGAGTTCGAGACCAGCCTGGCCAAGATGGTGAAACCCTGTCTCTACTAAAAATACAAAAATTAGCTGGGTGTGGTGGCGGGTGCCTATAGTCCCAGCTCCTCGGGAGGTTGAAGCAGGAGAATCACTAGAACCCAGGAAGCAGAGGTTGCAGTGAGCCGAGATTGTGCCACTGCATTCCAGCCTGGGTGATAGAGCGAGACTCCAGCTCAAAACAAACAAACAAACAAAAGCACACACATAAATGGAATCATACAAACTGTAGTTATGTTGTATCTGTTTTTTTCACTTAATGTATTATATTCAAGATTCATTTTTGTTGTAGCATATTTTATAGCTGAATAGCATTTTATTGTCTGAGTATACCATATTTAGTTTATCAATTCTCCATTTGGTGAATATTGGGAATATTCATAGTCTTATTATTATGAACAGTGTTGTTATGGATAATTGCATATATGTGGTTTTGTGGATATAATTGTTCACTTCTTTTGAGCATATTCCTAGAAGAGGAGTTGGTGTGTTGTATAAGTTTATGTCTAACATTTTAAGAAACTGCCAAACCATTTTCCAAAATGGTTATACCATTTTACATTCATAAGCAGTGTATGAGGGTTCCAGTTTCTTCACATCCTTGTCAAAACTTTGTATTGGCTCTCTTTTTTATTATAGACATTCTCTTGGGTGGAATAGTGATACTTCATAGTTGATTTGCATTTTTATGATGGCATTGAACATTTTTCCTTATTTATTAGCATATTTGTCACCTGTATATTTTATTTGGTGATCTGTTTAAGTTTTTTGCCTATATTTATATTGGATTGCATGTCCTCTTGGAGTTGAAAGAGTTCTTTATATGTTTTAGATATAAGCCCTCTATCACATATGTATAGTTTACACATATCTTCTTCTGGTCTGTGGCTTGTCTTTTCCTTTTCATAATGATGTCCTTTGCGGCAAAGGTTTTTCATTTTGATGAAGTCCAATTTATCAATGTTTGTTATATGTTTTGCTTTTGGCATTGAATGTAAAAACTGAAAGTTTAAAAAGCTCACAAAGATTTTCTCTTATGTTTTCTTCTAGAAATTTTAGAGTGTGAACTCTTACATTTATATCTATAACTGATTTTGAGTTAATTTTCATATAGTGTGAGAGGCTGTACTCTTTTTTTATTTGCACGTGGATATCCAATTATCCCAGCACTACTTATTGAAAAAACTATCTTCTCCTTATCGAATTGTCTTTTCGTCTTTGTCAAACATTAGTTGACTGCTCTCACCATTTCTATTTAATATTGAATGAGAGGTTCTAGTCAGGGCAATTAAGCAAGAAAAATAAAATAAAATAAAATAAAAGGCATCCAGATTTGAAAAGGAAAAGTTAAACTATCTGTTTGGGATGACATAATCTTATATAGAGAAAATTCTTAAAAATCCCCCCAAATCATTAGAGCTAATGAACGAATTCAGCACTGTTACAGATTACCATGTGAAATGCGTTTGTATTTCTATGTACTAGTAATGAACAACCCAAAAAATGAAACTAAGAAAACAATATCATTACAATAGTATCAAATATTGTAAGTACTTAGACAAAATTTAACAAAAGTTTAAGACTTGTACAATGAAAACTGCAGAACATTGTGATCTAAAAAATAGAAAGGCATTTAATATTTATGGATTAGAAGCAAATATAATCAAGATGGCAATACTCAATAAATTGATCTACAGATTTAACACCATCTCTATTAAGATCTCAGCCACCTTTTTCTAAAAATTAACAAGCTGACCCTAAAATTCATAGGAAAATGTAAGGGACCCAGAATAACCAAAACAATTCTGAAAAAGAAGAATATAGTTTGATAACCCACACTTTTTAATTTCAAAACTTATTGCCAAAAAATCCTACAGTAATCAAGGTTGTGTGGTGTTGGAATAAAGATAAATATTTTGATTAATAGAATAGAATTGAGAATCATAAATATTTATAGTCAATACATTTTTGGCAAAGGTGCTGAGACAATTCAATGGGCGAAGAATAGTTTTCAACAAATGGTGCTGAGACAACTGGAAACCCACATACAAAAGAATGAGGTTGGACCTTTCACTATATACAATTATGAACTAAATGGATTATAGATCTATGTTAGAGCTAAAACTGTAAAACTCTTAGGAGCAAACATGAGAGTAAATGATCACTACTTTATGTTAGGCAATAATTTCTTGGGAGACTAAAGCATAAAAGGCAAAATAAATAATAGACAAATTGGGCTTCATTGAAATTTTGAACATTTGAGTTTCAAAGGATACTATTAAGAAATCAAAAGAAAAACACACAGAATATGAGAACATACTTGCAAGTCATATATATTATGGGAAACGTATTCAGAATATATGAGGAACTCTTAGAACTCAACAATAAAAAGATAAACAACCCAACTACAGAGTGGGTAAAGTACTTGAATAGATAATCTACAAAGGAGATATACAAATGGCCCAAAGGCACATAAAAAGGTGTTTAATATCATTAGCTATTAGGAAATGCAAACCAAAACCACAAGATACTTCTTCAAACCTACAAGGATAGCTATAATTAAGACAGACATATTATAACAAGTTGGTGAGGATTTGGAAAAATTAGAACCTTCATCCATTGCTCATGGGGAGTTGAAATGGTGCACCCACTTTGGAGAACAGTTTAGCGGTTCCTCAAAAAGTTAAACACAGAGTTAATTTAATACTTAGCAATTTAAATCCTAAATATATACATGAGAGAAATGAAAAGTTACATCCACATAAAAACTTGTACATGAATACTGATAACAGAATTATTCCTAATAACTCAAAGTGGAAACTACCCAAATGTCTACCAATAGAATGGATAATATATGGCACATTTATTCAATGGAATATTTTTCGACAATAAAAAGAAATGAAGTGCTGATACATGCTACAACATGGATGAACCTTGAAAACATTATGCGAAGTGAAAGATGCCAGTCACAAAAAACCACATGCTGTGTGATATTGGGTACATGAAATTTCTAGAAAAGGCAAATATAGAGAGACCAAAAGTGGATTAGTTGTTGCCTGGGGCTGTAGAGAATTGTGGGAATATATAATGACTTTTAGAGTGTAGAGTTTCTTTGGGGTTGATAAAAATGTTCTAAAATTAGATAATACTAATGGTTGCACAACTCTGAGTGTATTAAAAATCAGTGAATTGTACACTAAATTTAATGGTATGTGAATTATGCATCAATAAGGCTGTTATAAAAATTAATTGACTAGAAATAAATATAAGCATTTGTTTCTGTACTATCAATTCTGATCCACTGAGCTACATGCCTATTTTTGTGCCAATACTGCATTTATACAACTACTATGCCTTTATTAGTAGGTTTTATAAGTTTTAAAATCAAATAGTCTTCCAATTTTGTCCTTTTTCAAAATTGTTTTGGATATTCTACTTTATTTGCATTTTCAAATGAGTTGTAGAATCAGATTGTCGATTTCTACAAAAAAAAAGCATGATATACTTTTGGTTAGGAGTTGCCTTGAATTTATAGATCAATTTGCAGATAATTATCATGCTGACAATATTGAGTTATCAGATTCAGGAACATGAAATGCCCATCTACTTATTTACATCTTTAATTTATCTCAGCAATGTTATATAATTTTTGGAGTACAAATTTTATACCTCTTTTGTCAAATTTATTCCTATGTATTTTCTATTTTATTATTTTTGATGGTATTGTGGATGGTAATATTTCCTTATTTTCGTTTTTAGATTGTTTATTGCTAGTGTAAAGAAATACAATTGACTTTTATTTATTGACCATGATCAACACAGTGAAACCTCGTCTCTACTAAAAATACAAAAATTAGCTAGGCATGGTTGCAGGCACCTGTAATCCCAGCTACTTGGGAGGCTGAGGCAAGAGAATCACTTGAACCCGGGAGGCGGAGGTTGCAGTGAACCGAGATCGCTCACTGCTACCCTCCTCAACTTTTTTTTATTAGTTCTAAGAGATTGTGTGTGTGTGTGTGTATGTGTGGTTTTTGAGATTTTTCACAAACAAGATTATATCATTTATAAGAGTTTTATGCTTTTTCTTTTCCAATTTGGTTGCCTTTAATTGATTAATATTATTGTTATTATTATTATTATCATCTACGTTTAGAACCTCAAGTGCAATGTTGAATAGAAGCATCAAGATCAGGCATTCTTGCTTGTCCCTAACCTTAGGAGGAAAGCATTCAGTCTCTTATCATTAATGACGATACCAGCTGTGAGATTTTTTATGTGCCCTCTATCATGTGAGAAGTTTCACTTCTGTACCAAATCTGATGAGAGTTTTTTAATTATAAATGGGTGTCTTATTTTACAAATACTTTTCCTGCATGTATTGTGATCATATGGGTTGTGTCTTTCATTCTACTGATAGAATATATTACATTAAGGCATTCTTGCATTACTAGGATGAATCCTTGGTCATGGTGTGTCTTTTTAAGTGTGCATTTACTAAGAAGTCTTGCACATTTATTTATGAGTGATATTGATCTATAGTTGTTTTCTTTTTCTTCTCCTTTAGTATTTCTTTGGCTATGGTTTGAAGGTAATTTGTATTGGGGTAACAATTATGATTGGTAGGTCTTTCCTCTGCCTGTGTTTTCTGGGGAAGGATTGGCATTATTTATTCAAATATTTGTAAAATTCACCAATGAAGCAGCCAAGCATCAGTGCAGTGGCTAATAAGACTACTGCTGCTGTTAGGTTGACTTTTCAAACATACTTCCATAGATCAGTTGTATGAGACGATGAGCTCAAAAGAAACCAGATAGTTAATTACTTACACAGACAACAGAAGCAAGGTTAGCATGGTGTCAACTCCACACACTCCTAATCCCACAAATGACACCAAACCAAAGTCCAGATGATAGACGACACAAGAGTAAGTCACTCTGTCATGGAGAAGTATCCTCTAAACTATAGCCAAGCAGTTTTATGTTTCCACATGGGTCTCCAGCTATATCCAAGAAGAGAGAAAGTTGGAAAGTCCTGCACTCACTGAAAGTAGGAAGGTAGATGAGAAATTTCTTGTGGCAGTCTCCTACAAGATAGGACTGAGAAATTGCCTCGCAGTAAGTCTTAGGAAGCTTCTTTCTCTTTGATCCAGGAAAAATGCCAGGTTATCCACCAAAACTTGGTTTAGACTAATGTCAACCTGCCTATGAGGCCTGCCAACATGGCCTATGTGGAGATGTGCAAGGATACCAGGGTTCCCTGACAAAGCTCTTCTCTGAGGAAATTCATCTGGATCTGGGCTTTTCTTTGTGGGAAGACTTTAAATTGCAAATTTAATTTATTTTCTTACTATAGATCTATTCAGATTTGTTATTTCTTCTTCTGTTAGGAAAAATAATTCTTCAATCAGTTTTGGTCATTTATTTCTTCCTAGAAATTTCTTCATTTCATTAGCTTATAATCTTTTTTATTTATGTAAGGGTGGTAGTAATACCCCTCTTCCATTCCTGATACTGGTAATTTTTGTCTTATTTTCTCATTCAGTCTAGTAACAAATTTGTCAATTTTATTGATCTTTTCAATGAACCAACTTTTTATTTCATTGAATTTTTAAAATATCCTAGTTTTCTGTTTCGGTAATTTTTTTCTCTAATCCTTATTATTTCCTTTATATTGATTCCTTTAAGTCTGTTGTTGCTGCTTTTATTTGATGTCTTTAGGTAGAAGCTTACATTATTGATTTGAAAACTCTTTTTCTTTATCAATAAAAGCATTTCAATCTTTAAGCACTACTTGAGCTGTATTCCATAAATTTTGATATGTTATATGTTAATTTTTATTGAATCTTGATGATTTTATCTAATAAATGGGGTCCGATATTGATATTCATTTCCAAGACCAGACTAAAGGCATCTGAATATACATTTTGTAGCATTTGGATTAGTCAAAATAAATGTCTGTGAGTGGCAAGGATTTTGTTAGCTACCGCTTGATTTTTACTCTTTATCTTGTTTTGCAGCCAGCGCTCACAGAGTGGAATGTTTCTAAGTGCCAAGGGCAGAGGAGTACAAGGTTTCAGCAAGACTTTGCAAAGGATGATTAACTACTTGGTGGGAAATTTCCCTCACTCCAAACAACTGGATTGTATTAACTGGCACTTTGGTGAAGCTGTCCTGAAAAGTCACTTTTCTTTTCCATTTTCTCTGACTGCCCCCATGCCTAAAGAGCACAAAGTGTTCCTAAGACTACAAATAGTCATGTGACATGGTATTCTAATTAATGCAAAGTTTTGAAAATCCTGCCTTTGTTAGTAAAATGATATAAGACAATGATACACACTCATTAAAAAGAGTGTGGTTGGCCAGGTGCAGTGGCTCACACATGTAATCCCAGCACTTAGGCAGGCCAAGGTAGGCGGATCACCTGAGGTCAGGAGTTCAAGTCCAGCCAGGCCAACATGGTGAAACCTCATTTCTACTAAATATACAAAAATTAGCTGGGTGTGGTGGTGGGTGCCTGTAATCCCAGCTACTTGGGAGGCTGAGGCAAGAGAATCACTTGAAAACCCAGGAGGTGGAGGTTACAGTGAACTGAGATTGCACCATTGCACTTCCAGCCTGGGCGACGGAGCAAGACTCCTTCTTGGGAAAAAAAAAACAAAAAAGGGAGTGTGGTTCCATTTAATTCTCAACTTTCTTGACTTTTGAATAAGCAAACTTAGAAATAGTGCTATAATATTTTTTTATGACAAATGTAGGCCTGTGAATGTCTTGGATCTGGCATGATACACCTTTGAGGGTGTTAAAGATGCTACTTATGTCTCAACATAGAAAAGCCTAGACTATAATCCTGGCTTCAACCAGTGTTGTCACTTTGCTGGAACTAAGCAGGAAAAGAGAGAAATGAGCACAGGAAGTAGATTATGAACATGTAAAATTTTTAAATGCATTATGAAAATAAGTGAGTTTGATTTAATTTATTGTATGTTGATTTTCTCTTGATAATGGAAAAGACTCATGGCAGCTAACAATAGGTTTTTATACTGTTGATGTTCTTTGGGGAGTGAGCTGATGAGTTGGAGCATGATGTGGTCCTACAGTAAGACTAAAAACAAACCACTACCATCTATTGAGCTCTCAGAACGTGTCAGGAGTATCACAAGTGGTTCTTTCACCTCTTATTTCTACTGACCTCCCCCAGTGCCTGTTGTTTATACTTTTGCATCAGCACTTTTTATGTTGGAACTCGTATATTAGTTATTTCTATGTATAGTGTTTTCCCCCATAATTTTAAATCTTTAAGGAAAAGGGCTGTGTTGTAGTCATATTTTATCTCTCTCAATGTTTAGAGAAATGCTTTGTATATAACAAGTACTTAGTACATACCTGTTAAACTGAATTTAAGTGAACAAAAAGTTATAAGCTTGAGTGACACATTTCGAAGAGATATAAAGAGCAAAGCATAATAAAATGACATAACAGAATTGCCAACCACAAATATGGTGTATCAAAACAAGTGAACAAATAAGTAAACAATGCCTTAAAACGTGTTCAGGAAATGATAGCTTTAAAAGGATGAAACTCTTCTAGGTATAAATTTTGTTTCAGTGAAAGCTATGCAGACAATCACCACAATGTCTGATGTACATTGAACTTGTGAATAAGATTCCTTAATTTCCAAAAATAATTTATGTTTTTAAAATTGGAGCTTCCTAGAAGATTGGTTGAACTACTATATCTTTGATAAGCCATTTCCACCTCCTAATCAAGGGAACATATAGTAACTTTACCATATTGGTTGCCTACAGTTAAAATACCTTATGAATCATAGTAGAATCAAATATTTTGTTTTTTTGCATGTAATAATTCAGATGTTTATATACTGTTATTTACACAGAAATTGAATTTATAAGAATTTAAGGAGAAAATTTTGCTCAAATCTTTCTTTATGTGATGCAAAGATAACCTGGTTTGACATTTTGACATCTTTCTTTTTTTAAGAAAACGGCACTCAAGAGAATTATTGCTGTGTGGCATAGAAAGAACAAAAGTCTGAGAGAGGCTGTGAGTTTGAACTTAAGTTCTGCCAAAACTTCAATGTATTTTGGCAAATGATATATCCCTTCATCTACAGGATTTCAGTTTTCTCATCTGTAAAATGAAAGGGATTGTGTTAGAGATCTTTCTAGTTTAATTTTTTTTATTTCTAAGTAGATATTTGTACTCAGAATTTATATTTCTACAAAAGATGATAATAAACCCTAGGTAGATGGCATACATTTAGGTTAAAGTATAAATGTATTGGTCTAGCAGCATTAATGTAAAAATGGAATGTTCTTTAGGTTTAAAATTGCAAGCTTGTAATTAAATTGTTAAATAATTTGTATCTTCCACACTGGAAGATATCCTTGACATTAGAAAACAATAAACATTAGAAACCCATAAACTTAGAAGGAAGCAGACATGATTTTTTTTAACTGCTCCTTTTTTTCTGTAATAAAAACCATGATTTTTCCTAGTACCATCAGGGTATTCTATGAGAAATAATTAAATATTCTGTGGAGAGAACTTTGAAGATAAAAAGCATTAGAAAATGCAAAATTTTACCATCATTTTTGACTGTCAATAATGCATTTCCCAAGTGCTTTTTTGGACTCAAACCTATTTATTGTTCTTCAGCTGTCCAGTTAATTTTTTTGAAAACTCATTATTTTTAGCTGGCTAACAGCTTTTTATTCTTTAGAATAAAATTTAGGTCAATAAAGGCTCAGCCAAGGAAACTGTGAAACAACCAAATGTTTCCAAGTATGTGACCTGTCACCATCTTGACCATTAATTCTTCCAAATTTTTTAGAAAAATTATTTCACAGTTGATGTAATAATGGATCATGGAAATTATAAGCTAAATAGAAAACAACAAAGAAGGAAGCAAAATATCACCCCTAATTTTATAATCTGACAATAACCATCATTAGCGTTAAGTAAATATTATTCCAGATATTTATATATACTTCTAGGCCAATAGAGAAATGTATACTCACCAACACACATATACACACATAGTAATAATTTTATAAAATGTGATCAAATAGTAATGGCTAGTTTACCAGTATTAAATTAAATAAGCAAGAGGCCTTAAGCCTGAGACTATCTCTGTAGTTTGAGCTCCTACATAACAAATTATAACCTAACTTAGTATGTAAACAAACCAAAACCTAATTTAGGAGTTTAACAAATAGCTGAGTTTCAGCCAGTCACAAGCAGCCACGTTCCCATTAATCACAGGCATGCCCGAATAAGCCAGATGCCTAACTATAGCCAATCAGGTGATTCCTCTACTTTCCTTCTGTGTCTGGCCTATAACAGCTCTCTGCTCAGACTACTTGGGGGAGCTCTCTGAGCCTTCACTAGTTCAGGGTGTTGCCTAATTTATGAATTATTCTCTGCTCAAATAAATTTTGCTAACTTTAATTTGACTGAATTTTTTTTTAACAGCAGTATTAAAATTAACTAATATTTTAACACACACACAAAATGGATTGTTGTACCTTGGATAAATAATCTTTTACCACAAGAGTTCATAAAGATACCTCTAAAGTTAAAAAGTATATAAAAGCATCAAGATGATGCCAAAAAGTCTAAATTTATTTTTTGTATAGTATTATGTGATTTCCTACCTATGTGAAAATAAGAGAGTGCCCAGTTTGCCTCTAACCCCCCTTATTTGAACTTCAGTTTTTAAAGTTTATATTACTTGCTTTTCTTTGTCAAAAATTCTAAAACATTCTTTTTCTGTAATATAAATATCACTGATGTTTCCTTTTATTTTTTCTGTATTTAGTGGATTCAGGACTCATCAAACACCACAGTCCTTTTTTATTGCCATCTTTCTTTTGATTTATCTGTTGGTTGGTTGGACTTTGTACTTTTCTGGAAAGGCTCATAGGCATTATATTCCAAAACTTCTTAAATGTTTCAGTCTACAGTTTTACTTATTTTGTGCTTTAGGAAATTTTTATATTCTGTCTTTGAACATATCTCCTGTGCCATATGTTGAGTGCACCACACCACTTTTGATTTCCTTGGCCCAGACAATCTTTTCCTTCCATTTGTATCAAGTTTTGTCTACTTCATTAAACTTTTAGGCCACTTCCTTTACATACAAATGGTAATCTCATGTCTTTTTGTATGTCTGTGCTTTCATGTTTACAATGTATTTGTTTGCAAATAGCCTTTGGATTTTTTGTTTTCCTGGCTCCGGAACTTCTCTTTCAATTTTATTTGGTTGTTTATCTTAGCTTTGAACTCTTACATTATTGAATATATGTTTTTATTAAATTCATTTATAATATATTTGTGGGGAATGATCTTTTTACTGAATTTGTTAGATTATTTTTTCCATAATAAATTCTTCATCTGGCTTTTGCATGCTATGATCTCTTGTGATATTTTTGATTTATTTCTTCCATTTTTCTTTTTTTTTTTTTTTGGTGTAGTATGGCTGTGTAGTTACTTCATTTAGCTTACGCTAAATAGGAGCAGCTCTAAACAGACCTTTCACTGGACCCTATTTAGAGAGTGAGTGGTTACAATTTGCCTTTAACTGCCATATCTGAGAACCATCCCTCCTTGAGAGCTGAATTTTAGAGCTGTAGTATGTGAGTTCTAGCTACTTTTTCAGAGCCTTCTGGTGGGAAGGGGCCAGGAAGGAGGTAATTTTGCAAATACCTGAATGCAGCCTACGTTAGATGACCTGGCCTCTATTTTCTGATCTGAGATTTTTGTCCTACATCTAGTTGGAGTTATACCCTTAGTCCTGTGGCAGTATATTCTGGGGTTTCAGGTCATTTTTTTTCAATTCAGATTGAAGCCCTGTAAAATGGTGAGCCTCAAAGATTCTGTTGCATTTTCTGAGAGCCCAAGTCCTCATGAGAGGTGACAGCATGCTGGCAGCCCTCACAGCCCTCGCTCGCTCTGGGCGCCTCCTCAGCCTTGGTGCCCACTTTGGCGGCACTTGAGGAGCCCTTCAGCCCACCGCTGCACTGTGGGAGCCCCTTTCTGGGCTGGCCAAGGCCGGAGCCGGCTCCCTCAGCTTGCAGGGAGGTGTGGAGGGAGAGGCGCGAGTGGGAACCAGGGCTGCATGCGGTGCTTGCGGGCCAACACAAGTTCCGTGTGGGCGAGGGCTCCGCGAGCCCTGCTGGCCCCAGGCAGTGAGGGGCTTAGCACCTGCACCAGCAGCTGCTGTGCTCAATTTCTCGCGGGCCTTAGCTGCCTTCCCATGGGGCAGGGCTCAGGACCAGCAGCCCCCCATGCCTGAGCCTCCCCCAACTCCGTGGGCTCCTGTGTGGCCCGAGCCTCCTCGACGAGCGCCTCCCCCGCTCCACGGCGCCCAGTCCCATCAACCACCCAAGGGCTGAGGGGTGCGGGCACAGGGCACGGAACTGGCAGGCAGCTCCACCTGCGGCCCCGGTGTGGGATCCACTGGGTGAAGCCAGCTGGGCTCCTGAGTCTGGTGGGGACTTGGAGAACCTTTATGTCTAGCTAAGGGATTGTAAATACACCAATTGGCACTCTGTATCTAGCTCAAGGTTTGTAAACACACCAATCAACACCCTGTGTCTAGCTCAGGGTTTGTGAATGCACCAAGGGACACTCTGTATCTAGCTACTCTGGTGGGGACTTGGAGAACCTTTATGTCTAGCTAAGGGATTGTAAATACACCAATGGGCACTCTGTATCTAGCTCAAGGTTTGTAAACACACCAATCAGCACCCTGTGTCTAGCTCATGGTTTGTGAATGCACCAATCAACACTCTGTATCTAACTACTCTGGTGGGGACTTGGAGAACCTTTGTGTCCACACTCTGTATCTAGCTAATCTAGTGGGGAGGTGGAGAACCTTTGTGTCTAACTCAGGGATTGTAAATGCACCAATCAGCACCCTGTCAAAACAGACCACTGGGCTCTCTGTAAAATGGACCAATCAGCAGGATGTGGGTGGGGCCAGATAAGAGAATCAAAGCAGGCTGCCTGAGCCAGCAGTGGCAACCTGCTCGGGTCCCTTTCCACACTGTGGAAGCTTTGTTCTTTCGCTCTTTGCAATAAATCTTGCTGCTGCTCACTCTTTGGGTCCACACTGCCTTTATGAGCTCTAACACTCACTGCGAAGGTCCGCAGCTTCACTCCTGAGCCAGCGAGACCACGAACCTACCAGAAGGAAGAAACTCGGAACACATCCGAACATCAGAAGGAACAAACTCCGGATACGCCGCCTTTAAGAACTGTAATACTCACCGCGGGGGTTCGCCGCTTCATTCTTGAAGTCAGTGAGACCACCAAGAACCCACCAATTCTGGACACATCTACACGTTATGTGCTATTGATAAGACTTGTCAGAATTTGATTTTCTTCCTCCCTCTAATACAGCTTCTAAGGCCTGACTCTGCCAGCCAGAATCCTGTACCTTTCCTTGGCAAATATGTTTCAAAATTTAAGAAAGAAAATTGGATTTCTTGTTTTGTATGGTTGCTACTGGTAAATTTTAAATTTTTTTTTTTTCTGTTGTTGTGTATGTCATCAACTTTTGGCAGATGGCCAGTCTATAATCTGACTTACCTCTCTCATCTATACCTCAGCATCTCCATTTAAAAAATATTTTAATTATCATTTAGGTTTCTAAATGCAACCATACAAACAAATTATATTTTTGCCTATTTCTAGACACAAAAGCTAGCTGCAGACCTTTATACAAACCCGCAATGAATCAACCATTTCTCCCCCACCCCTTACCTGCTCTGATAGAGCTTTTATTTTCTCAGGTCTGCTGCTTCTTTTTTTTTTTTTTTTTTTGAGACGGAGTCTCGCTCTGTCGCCCAGGCCGCACTGCGGACTGCAGTGGCGCAATCTCGGCTCACTGCAAGCTCCGCTTCCCGGGTTCATGCCATTCTCCTGCCTCAGCCTCCCGAGTAGCTGGGACTACAGGCGCCCGCCACCGCGCCCGGCTAATTTTTTGTATTTTTAGTAGAGACGGGGTTTCACCTTGTTAGCCAGGATGGTCTCGATCTCCTGACCTCATGATCCACCCGCCTCGGCCTCCCAAAGTGCTGGGATTACAGGCGTGAGCCACCGCGCTCTGCTGCTTCTTTATTTTTGGATTATAAAGTATAGTCTTCTTGTTTGGAAATAACGATATTAAATAACAGATTACTATGTGTGATGGTTAAGTGTCAACTTGATTGGATTGAATAATGCAGAGTATTGTTCCTGGGTGTGTCTGTATGGGTGTTGCTAAAGGAGATTAACATTTGAGTCAGTGGACTGCCAGAAGCAGACCCACTCAATCTGGGAGGGCACCATCAAATTGGCTGCCAGACTGGCTAGGAAAAGCAGGTGGAAGGTGGAATGAGCTGAATTGCTGAGTGTTTAGGCCTTCATCTTTCTCCCATGCTGGATGCTTCCTGCCCTTGAACATCAGGCTCCAAGTTCTTTCAGTTTTGGACTCTTGGACTTTCACCAATGGCTTTCGGGCCTTCGGCTATAGACTGAAGGCTGCAGTGTTGGCTTCCCTACTTTTGAGGTTTTGGAACTCAGGCTGAGCCACTACTGGCTTCCTTGCTCCTCAAATTGCAGATGGTCTATCATGAGAATTCACCTTGTGATCATGTAAGTCAATTCTCCTTAATAAATTCCCTTTCACGTATACATGTATCCTATTAGTTCTGTCCCTCTAGAGAACCCTGACTAATACACTATGTATACTAATTGGTCATGAGCACTTACCTGATTAATTGGTTAATATTTTAAGGAATTTTAATGATCTAGAACTTTACTGGGCCACGCCCCTAGATATTTATATACTAGTCACAGAAAAAAGTTAATTCAATGCCTGGTATGAGTGTCACATGATTTAAAATTGAGTGACATTCATACCAAGCATTGTATTAACTTTTAAGTTTCAGATTGAAATTGAGATTTTATTTGCTCTTTTTAATTATTATCCTCATTTACATGTTATTAAGTTTTAATATTTCAGAATGATATTGTTTACGCTTTTAATTTTTTTTTTTTTTTTTTTTGAGACGGAGTCTCGCTCTGTCACCCAGGAAGGAGTGCAGTGGCGTGGTCTCTGCTCACTGCAAACTCCACCTCCCGGGTTCACACCATTCTCCTGCCTCAGCCTCCGGAGTAGCGGGGACTACAGGCGCCCGTCACCACGTCTGGCTAATTCTTTGTCTTTTTAGTAGAAACGAGGTTTCACCGTGTTAGCCAGGATGGTCTCGATCTCCTGACCTCGTGATCCGCCTGCCTCCGCCTCCCAAAGTGCTGGGATTACAGGCATGAGCCACCATGCCCGGCCCCAAAAATGTTTTTTTCTTAGATAATATTTGGTTTCTATGGTCTAGCGAATTTGAAAGAGAAGAATTTGTAGATAAAAAACAATTTCTATTCTATTTAGGAGTAGAAGGAGTGGTTCACAGTTATTGTTTAACTAGTGAATCTGGTTTGGGCTGAATTCACACTTTTACTTTTGAGATTCTATTACACTAAGATTACAAAAGAAAATAGACTTATAACTCAAACATGTTTTGTGTTTTTGTTTGTTTACCCATAGTACTGAGAATATCTCGGGCTCGGAGGTAAAGATACCCACACATTGATATGCATCCAAAGAAATAAATTCCAAAGCCAGATGCAGGTTTGGATCCAGTTGGTTTTATGTTAGAGAAACTGAGATTTAAGAACGATATAATAAAATACTTTTCTTACTTTGGAGAGGAGCAAATGAGCATGTAATTTCTTCTCTCTTATATGTCTACCTACAGAAAATGTTATGATTATGAGAAAAAAAATAATATGCATGATGTCTTTACATTTTAATGAATTACATTCTTCATTAAAGTGGGTACACAGCCCTCCTCTTTACTTCTGCTATTGTAGTTTCTATGTGGATGGAACATGACAAGACTGACAACCATATTCATGCCCAATTCTATCTGCCCTATACTGTTCACTCTTTAGCCATTAATATCTCTCCACCTGCTATAATTGCCTCACTTGTTTCTTGCAGGTGCTTCTTTCATCTTTCTTTTTATAATTAGCAATCACTCACAGTCTGCTTCCCACATTTAAAATCACCCTATTTCTGCACTTGCTCACCTTATGTTTAAAAAACTCATTTTCTCTTTCTGTTAACGTACATACCATTTTTTCCATCATCAGCATTTTTTCACATAGCTGCATTCTTTTGAGTTCAAGTTTTAAAATGTTGAAAGTCGCTACTTGCCCAGTTATGATATCCTATGTGGTTATTCCACAGTTAGTATACGATTATTGACATTTTATTTTTCCATGATATCTTTGAAAGCTCGAGCAAATAAAAATGTTCCTCCTTTCGGCTCTGTTAGATCAGAATTAGGTGTGCTTAAATATTGATGATTAAAAACTTTGCAGTGAAACCACAGTTTTCTTTTTCTTATTTTTTTTCAGTACCTAATAATGATATTTCCACAGTGAAGTCACTGAATACTCTCTTTAACCTTCATGTTTCTTAGCACTGTTATATAAGAAGACAGGAAAGAAAATTGCAGCAGTTGTGTTGTGAAAGCAAAGAAATCCTTATGTATGAAAAAATTTAAGCTGTATATTAACTTTCATTCAGATTATACTGCCCAAAGCAATTTACAAATTCAATGCTATCCTTATCAAAATACCAATGTCATTTTTCACAGGATTGGAAAAATCTATTTTAAAGTTTATATGAACCAAAAAAAAAGAGCACAAATAGGCAAAGCTATAGTAAGTAAACAGAACAAAGCTGGAGGCATCACATTACCCAGCTTCAAACTATACTGTAAAACTACAGTAACCAAAAGAGCATAGTACTCGTACACAAACAGACACATAGACCAATTGAACAGAATAGAGAACCCAGAAATAAATCCACACTCCTGCAACCATCTGATCTTCAACAAAATTGACCCTCCCAAAAAATGAGGAAAGGACTTTCTATTCAGTAAATGAATAACTGGCTAGCCATATTCAGAAGAATGAAATTGGACCCCCACCTCTCAGCATATACAAAAATTAACTCAAGATGGATTACAGATTTAAGTGTAAGGCCTCAAACTGTAAAAATTATAGCAGAAAATCTGGGAAATGCCATTCTCAATACTGGCTTTGGCAAAGAATTTTTGGCTAAGTCCCCAAAGCAATTGCAACAAAAACAAAAATTGACAAGTGGCATCCAATTAAACTAAAGAGCTCTGCACAGCAAAAGAAACTACCAACAGAGTAAACAGATAGCCTACAGAATGGGAGAAGATGTTCATAAATGATACATCTGAAAAGTCTAATATCCAGAATCTACAAGAAACTTAAACAAATCCAAAAGCAAGAAACAAATAACCCAATTAAGAAATGGGCAAAGGACATGAACAGACATTTCTCAAAAGAAGGTATACACATGGCCAACAAATGTGAAAACATGCTGAACATCACTAATCATCAGAAAAAAATGCAAATCAAAATCACAATAAGATACCATCTCACACCAGTCAAAATGGCAATTATTAAACAGTCAAAAAGTAACAGATGCTGGTGAAACTGTGAAGAAAAAAGAATGCTTATACACTGTTGGTAGGAATGCAAACGAGTTCAGCCACCATGGAAAGCAATTTGGAGATTTCTCAAAGAACTTAGAACTGCCATTCAACACAGCAACCTCACTACTGGGTATATACCTTAAGGAAAATAATTCATTCTTCCAAAAAGACAAATGTACTTGTATGTTCATTGCAGTGCCAGTCACAATAGCAAAGACATGGAATCAAGCTAGGTGCCCATCAACAGTGGATTGGATAAAGAAAATGTGGTACATATATACCACGGAATTCCATGCAGACATAAAAAAGAATGAAATCATGTCTCTTGCAGCAACATGGATGTAACTGGAGGCCATTGTCCTAAGCAAATTAATGTAAGAATAGAAAACTTAATACTGCATTTTCTCACTTGTAAGTGGAAGCTAAACATTCAATACACATAGACTTAAAGATGAGAACAATAGACACTGGTGAGTACTAGATGGGAGAGGCAGGCAGGGAGAAAAACTACCTCTTGAGTACCATGCTCACTACCTGGGTGGTGGGAATGATACCTCAGCATCACTCAATATACTCATGTAACAAACCTGAAAATGTACCCCTTAATCTATAATAAAAGTTAAAATTGTAAAAAAAGGGAAACAAAAATCAATATAATTTTAAATATCCAGTGTAAATAATGTTAGTTATTATCTTTCTAAATTTAAAGGAAGCGCTTTTTAATGCAGGGTGGCTCTAGTGATGATCTTATAGATTGGGTTATACTTGCAACTGAGTATTAATTTTACCCTTTGGCATTTCGTGGATATTAGCCTGTTGTTAATATGAGTAATAAAATTGTTACAGAGTTTTGAAGTACTTTATTCCAGTCAAGAAACCTGGTCTCTCTTGGGAAAAGATACAGTGGGATAGAAATAGTTAACCTACTAGTGAAATTTTAAGTGACACCAGTGTTAATTACAAATAAAGTTGAATAGATGAATCCAGGATGTTTATTATAGCATCCTTCCTTTGTGTTCTATTTTCCCACCTTTCTGGGAGAAAAAAAAATGTATGTTATTAGCTGGAAGAGTCCCATCACTGGTGGTAGATGGAAAACAGTGAGTCCTTGGTGCAATGTATACTGATGAAAGAAAATTAATCAGCTAATACATTCTATTAAGCATTTAGCAATATGGTAGAATTAGTAACTGTAATGACAAACTTGATTGATCTTCAGACAAAAATAAAATGGAGTGGAGAGCAATTACTTAATGATTAAAAGTCAATAAGAAAGCCTGACAAGCACCTTGGAAGTTTGTAAAGAGACAATTATCATGTGCAATGAGAGGGAAGAGTAAGCTTAGGACGAGGACCAGGGCTTAATTGTCAGAGTAGCTGAGTGCCAATGAGTTTGAACTTCCAAGTAAAGCTATGCCAAGGTTTAAGCACTGCTTGGGACATAATGGGATCCTAACAAAGGTGATGGGAGATCTGGGTTGATACTCTCAAAAATTATGAAAGGCACGACTCCCCCAAACCCTCTGAATTTGCACAAGTGGCCTCTCTGCTAGAAGCTAGCACTCCCTCTTTTCTTGAAAATGAAGCAAAGGCTTCTTCTTTGCCAGGCAACATATACCTGTCTTAGAATGCTCCTTCCTCTCCTTCTAACTGCTAGACCCATAACTAGAGTTAAGTTACAACATGACACAGTCAGGGACAGGCAGAGACTGATAATGGAGAAAGAGACTGCGCCTCCAAAGAGTTAGAGAACCTAGCCAGTATATACTGGCAAGAGCTGGGAGACTACCCACGAGACTGGTTTCTGAGGGTGTTTGATCAGAATGGCTGGAAAATAAAGTTGTATAAGCAAGAACTTATCAATTTGGGACTCTCAGAACACAGAATTTAACACTCTGGAAATACTACTCTACTAGAATGGTTTCTAGAAGCATGGAACAAGCAATGGGCTACTTGAGCA
Source organism: Homo sapiens (assembly GCF_000001405.40). Taxonomy (NCBI): domain Eukaryota; kingdom Metazoa; phylum Chordata; class Mammalia; order Primates; family Hominidae; genus Homo; species Homo sapiens. The sequence goes on along the minus strand of NC_000006.12, from coordinate 122,157,988 downwards.
GTAAGGGAACTTTTGCTACCAGGGACAAATAATAAATATTTTAGGATTTGCAGGCCACATGGTCTCGATTGCAACTCATCAATTCTGCCATTGTAGTGGAAAAGCTCTCATAAATAATACATATATAAATGAGAGTGGCTGTGTGTGTTTCAATAAAACTTGATTTACAAAAGGGAACAGGCTGGATTCAAGATATGAGGCATTATCTGCTGCTCATGCTGAGACAGAAATGCCAGAATATCCATGACACTCTGAAAGAGTCAGAGAAAGGCTCATGATAGAGCGAACAAACAACATAAGCTCAGAAGACCCAGTAAAGGACTAGGTTCCATGGGAAGGCCCGTAGAACACACTATTCACCCAAACCATCAGAAACATGCTTGTGAGAGGGGCGCCTGCATCACTTAGTAATTTAGTGGTGGCCTGCCTCTGCAGGCCAAGGCTGATAGTAGGAAATACCATTCCAGAACTAACAGCACTGTGGATGAGGAACATACTGAAAATGAATACCAGGTGGTAGCATTTATGAATTAGGAGCCAAATATAGGTAATTATCACAATGAGTGGCAAGCTTGGAGAGGCAACCTGGTGGCCTGACCAGCACAGAGCTGTGGAGACCATCAAACATGTATCTCTAGCAGCAGAATACATGGATATCTTAAGATTTACCACTCAACCTGTACAGATAATTTATGGGTAATGATCAGGAGGCTGAGGTAAGTTGCCCCAATTAGAAGTCATGATTTTTAGCCTTCATTTCTGGCCCTCAACCCAGTTTCACATGTGGATTCCACTGACTAAAAGAGAAGCCTAATCCTTAAGAGGAAACACCTTACAGTGGCATGACACTGTAGACAGTAATGTGTTCCCAATGCTTTCCACAAAGGGTTCTGTAGACATTTACTCAGGTGACTATAAAATATGGAAAGGGGGAATGTCCAAATATTTTCAGAACGCTTGATCCAGGGTCCACGTTGCCATCATGATGCTCTGTTAGAGTGGGGATGTAGAGGAGCCAGGTAATAAAATGCAGTGGGCTCAGGCCTGGATCAAAGACCTACTCAGTGGTCATCACCCCAGTCTTTGTACAAGTGAGTCAACATACTTAATATTTAGCACATTCCCCACATTGATTCCTTGGCCTTTGGAATAAAAGCTATTGTAGTAGAAAATATTAAATGAAAACATCTAATCCTGTGCGATTGCCCCATTCCTCTCTTCCCGCCCATTCTTTGAGCGAATAGTAAATCAATCACTGTATTTAATCTGAAGAGGAATGGCAGCAATTAGCATCACCCTTAAAGACATACAAAATGCAGCATCCTGCATTATTCCTATATTATTCAAGAATATATAAACTTTCCATTATATTTCTATTTACTTTACGAGTCTGGCCCTTGCAATAAGCTGATGGATCCTGGAGGAAGATAATAGACTACCACAAACTCAACCAAGTAAGAGACCCGATTTTAGTTGTGCCAGATATGATGTTGTTGCTAGAGGAGATTAAGACAAATTTGGGTACATTATTTATGGTTATTGATCTGGGAAATTGAATTTTATCAGAAAAGAGGATCAGAAATAGTTTGCATTTCTGTGGAACAGATTACAAAATACTTTTACACTCTTTTTCTTGTTTTGTTTTGTTTTTGAGACGGAGTCTCGCTCTGTTGGCCAGGTTGGAGTACAGTGGCGCAATCTCGGCTCACTCCAACCTCTGCCTCCCGAGGTTCACGCAATTCTCCTGCCTCAGCTTCCCGAGTAGCTGGGACTACAGGCGCCCGCCAGCACGCCGGGCTAATTTTTTGTATTTTTAGTAGAAACAGGGTTTCACCGTGTTAGCCAGGATGGTCTCGATCTCCTGACCTCGTGATCCACCCGGCTCGGCCTCCCAAAGTGCTGGGATTACAGGCATGAGCCACCGCGCCTGGCCTACAGAATACTTTTACACTATTATTCAAGAATATATAAACTTTCCTAACTTCTGCTAACCATACAGCCTACTCAGCACTTCTCCATGCTCATTATTGGCTCTTTCAGACTATTCTCAACCTTTTGTCACCTTAACCTCTGTTACTTATTAGCACTGTGACCTTCTACATGATGGATACATAATTTTTCTAGGCTTCATTTCTTTATGTATAAATGGGAATAATAATTATGCTTCAGCATGAGTATGAGAATTAAATAAGTTTTGGTTACATGTTATTGTGCGACCATGGATAATATCAAGTACCTTAAACTTTGTTAAATGTAATCAGGGCCAACCAGGAAAATAGAATACCTAAGTAGTGACAACAGAGGAAATTTAGGCAGGGAACTGGTTACATAGGTGAGGGTGGAAATGAGAGCCAAACAAGAAACAGAGAAGACCCAGAAACTAGCAGGACAGAAGTGTTCATTAACTAGACTTGAAAGCCAAAGGAACAAAATAAGCTGGTGTTATGGGAGTCTAGGAGCTTGTTTGACTCAATGGAAACTGGAACCGTGATAGGCTTGTCTGTTGCTAGCTGAAGCCAAAGAGGAAATACAGCCTTTTTCAAAAAAGCTGACCAAAGCAAAGGATGGAGAGAAAAATACTAGGGTTACTCCCTTCCCCTGGCCCTCCAGTGCCTTGCCTCTCATTGGCCAGAAGTCAATTGACATGGAGCCAGGGAAGCACCACCTGCAGAGGTCAGCCCAGAGCACAGGAAGGATCTGAAGCCAACCATGTTTCCATCTCTAAGAGTTCATGACATCAGGCTACATCCTTGTGGGTAGGGGTGGGGTTTTCACAATGGGAAAACATATTTTCACTATCAGCTCTTCTGGAATTAAATTAATTCTGATTTAGGAAGTGAAGAACTGGGAAAGCAAACTAATGGAATACGAGTCAGCAAAAAAAAGGAACAAACTACAGATAATTTCAACAACATGGATTAATTTCAAATGCACTCTGTTAAGTGAAAGATAATAGAAACAGAAGAATACATACTGTATTATTTCATTTACATGAAAATTTAGAAAATCCAAAATAATAGTGACAGAAAGCAAATCAGTGGTTTCTGGGAGCCAGGGTTGGGGGGGGAAGAAGATAAACTGTAAAGGGGCACAAGGAAACTTTTTAGGGTGATAGAAGTTTTCTATATTGTAATTGTAGTGCGTGTTATGAACTGCATATAGTTCTCAAAACTTATCTAATAGCACATTTAAAATGGGTGAACTATATTTTATATAAATTATAACTCAATAAAGCTGATCAAAATAAATCAAATTGTTATATACATATATTGTTTACTTTTTTAAAAATGAGGTTTCATTGATTACTGAAAAATGGAAACTCTCCTGTTCTCCAAATTTATTCCTTTTTCTTTTCTTGGAAACTCGAAGTTGATTGTCATCATGTGGAAGACTGATTTCCTAGCCCATCATCTGGTTATGTTAGCTAAATCAAAGCCCAGTTTTTTGAAAATCACATTCAAATCACATTTGGTTCTAACAATAGACACACATCTGAATTCTTCAGTATATTTTCCACTTTTCATTCAGCTTTTCATCAGGCAAGCACAGATAGAGTACATGATTCACAGGAGGGACACTTTTAGCATTGGTTTCAGATGCATTAATACTTATTTTTCTATAACAACATCTAAACAGCAGCCAGGTTAGAAGGAAAATGACACTGTCAAGAACTCTGGATTCCACATGAAGGGTTTGTTTTGGGAAATTATTTCCAGAAAAGTAACTATATAACTCCATGACCTCGCTGGAGGGAAAATTTTAAGCATTCTTGCCTAAAATAGCAAAGTTGGACTTTTAAGTTATGGGAAATGATAAACACATTGAAAATCTGGAAGAAACTCCTCCAGAGATTAAAATGAACATCACAAAGTACAGTGTGTAGAAGAGTGCTGATTAAATTCAATATCATTATGAAAAAGAGAGGTGGTACAATTTGAAAACTTAATATCAAGGACTGATCGGAATTCCTGAAAATACTGCTTCATGGAATTTTGGCAAGACTGATGGAGGAGTTAATCACAATTTAATGTCATACGGAACTTACATTCAAATGCTAGTACTATAGATAGGACTCATAATGAAGGATTAAAGATACGTTGCCACTAGAAAAAAATCATTGTAGGGAGAGGTTTGAACTGATGTCCCTGATGTTGGATAGGCTCTCTTGTGAAAAGGAAAATCTTTGTCTCCTTGGAGCTAAGCCTGGAAATGCAGACTAGGAAGGGAAGCTGCTTGAAATACCAAAGAGGGCATAGTTACTGTTTCCTGTCTAATTGTCAGTAACACAACGAGATCAATTTATCTCCTTTGTCATATTGAAGTTACACAAAGACTGCTGGGGAGAAGGCCTGCTGACATCATGCAGACTCTATTTTTGCCTCTGAAATAAATTCAAAGAAACTTTTCTGCCTCCTAGAATGGGGGAATTGGTATGAAGGTGTGGGATAATCATACTTTACCTGTTTGGAAATGTTATATCTTTTGGGAATTTTCATGCTCCTCATAAATTATCTCAGTCACAATGGGCAGAATTAGCCATTTCTGTAGATTTTTGCCATTTAAAATATATTGTTAAATGATATAATAAATGTGAAGACTGATGCAAAATTTGTACCCCTGAACTTAAAAGTTAAAAAAAAAATTAAGTGTACCTGAGTTTCCAATATTATGCAAAGATTTTCCAATGTCATTTTGAGGTCTTAAAGCTATACTTAATTAAGAGAATTGGAACTTTGACAATGAAATTTATAGAACTTTGTTATAATACCAGGGTGGTAACACAGTGAAGAGCTAAAATGTCATTTCCCAAGCTGCAACACAGAAACTTGATAGACATGAAATTTTATCATCCTAAAATGTGTTTTTAGTAAATCATACCGTAACTTTAGTCTAAGTGCCAAAATAATGGAAATTTAAATCAATAAGTTATTCATCACTTACAAAAGGTTTTATCAATTTGGAAAAGCGTAGGAAATTTTATTCATTGGATTCTTATTTCAAAGCCTTTCTGTCATTGGATTGTGATTTTAAGTGCATTATGTTTTAGGGCATCGTATTCCATATAGTTCTATTTTCTTTGAATACATACAGGCTGTAGATGAGGCAGTAAGACTAAAAGATGATACAAATCTTGGGGGAAAACCTGCAGTGGGAAGCTAAACGAATGTATGGAATACGTTTTAATTCCTCAAGGCTTTTCAGATTTCAATTGGCTTATGTTTCTGGACACTATCTGTCAGGTCACATTGAGCTATCTCATTTTTATATTCTTGGTGATTGATTTCATTAATGAAGAACATACCAGAACTCAGGGTTATCTGCAGTGAAAGATAACTTCTTCAGGCCTCAGCAGCTGAAAGACGACTGGATGGCCATTTCTTCTTAAATGGAGGAAATTAAAGTTTGGGGCTGTGGTGTGAAGGCTCTTAACAACAAGCTGAAAAAACACTTCAAAAATTGCTGGCAAGTATTTCCAATCAACTGGAATTATTTCAGGGCACATTCAGGAGGAGAAGGAGGACTGGACTGCTGCTGTGAGAACTTGGTGCAGAGAATTCTCATCTTACAGCAAGTCAATACCAAACATTTTCCCATCTATAGGGAAGATGATGTTGGGTTCGAATGAATACTTAGAATAAAAAATATGTGTTACAGAAATAACAAATGACAAGACTGGGAAGTAATGACACATACTCTTAACTGACTTGAACATTTTATGTTCCTGTCTCTTACTGCTTCATGTGCTAAATAAAGGCAGTCAGGCTGTAAATCCTTGTATTATATTAAAATTTAATTTCCAAGGATGTCAGTCAAATACAAGTCATCGTGTAGATTCACAATATGAATCATCACTTACTTATATAAAAACCTGAGTATTTAATTCATTTCCTGATGTCTAACTTTATCTAAAGCACAGCAGTTTAAGTATATAACTACTTCTAAGGGTTTTTTTTTTTTTTAATGCTTTAGTGTGGGGGTGGGCTGTTTGTTGGAACAAACAACTTCAGTTAAGTGATCTTCTGTGGCCATATATGCTGTGAGAGAACCCTTACAGACACTCTAGGAATACTGACATTAGGAAGAATGCAGTTTTGAAATTCTTTTCCATAAATTATAAATATTAGCTTGATAAGAGCCAGTATTTTGTTAGTCTCATTTAGGAAGCATGAGTATTTCACTGAATCTAGAATAAGCTACTGCTTGGCATTCCCACGTAGAAAGAAAATTTATTTTAGCATAAGCTTTTGCTCTTTCTTATTTTATTTTCTCATAATATGTCTGTTTACTGTAGACTCATAAGTTCTATTAAAGCTAGTTTACTATTTTTTATAAAACTAACATTTTATCTAAATTGAGCTATAGACAGTTTTTTTTTAAAAAAGCATTTTATAACAAAATGTTCCCTCCCACCCCCCAAAAGTACCTAAGTTCAAATTCTATTGTGTAGTTTGGAGTTTACTGGGGTTCTTATTTATATAATGAATTTTACTCATTCTGGAGATAGCTATTCCCATTTTACAAGTTGTGTTTACTTGAATTTTTTTCCAAAAAAGCCTCCAATATATTTTCTATTTATAAATACAAAATCAGAACCGATTTTATGAGTATCAAATATTTAATAAAATAGTCCACATACTTAAGCCATTGTGAATTTGGTTGATTGAAGTCTGAACTGTGGTAAACCACCATGAAGCTTTCATTGATTTCCCAATCACTGCCTTCAACCATGTTTCTATTGACTCATTCAACCTTTTTAAAGAATATCTTGGTCAGATTCTATATCTTTGTGGTCACTTTCAAGTATAAAAATCTGTCTTTTTTAAAAGCTTCCATTTCATCTTCTTAATGTTCATCTCTCCCTTTTTTTTTTTTTTACTTATGTCTAGAAGCTTTGTCAGAGGGAATTAAATTGAAGAAATGTTGTTGTCTGTTATTTCATACTTTCTTCTCTGCCTTTTTGTTTTTCTCGTTTAGAAAAAAAAAAAAAGGAGGAGGAGGTGGCCTGGCAAAGGTTGCAGTAAGCCGAGATCGCGCCATTGCAGTCTAGCCTGGGCGACAGATCAAGACTCTGTCTCAAAAAAAAATAAAAAAATAAAAAGTAAGTTGATGGAGAAAAATACAGCATACTAACTCTAATAAAAAACAAAGCAGGGCTGTGTGCAGTGGTTCACACCCGTAATCCCCAGCACTTTGGGAAGCTGAAGTGGGAGGATCACTTGAGCCCAGTTTGAGATCAGCCTGGGCAAAATATTTTAAAATTACCTGGGCATGGTGGCATGTGACTGCAGTCCCAGCTACTTGGGAGGCTGAGATGGAAGGGTCACTTGAGCCTGGGAGGGTTGAGGCTGCAGTGAGCTGTGATCACACCACTGCACTCCAGCCTAGGTAACGGAGTGAGACCCCCCCACCAAAAAAAGGTGGAGCAGTTATACTAATTTCCGACAGAGCAGACTTCAAAGCAAGGAGGGTTATCAGGGACAAAAGAAGGCATTACAAAGTGGTATGAGGTCAATTATCCAAGAAGACATGCCAATTCCTTATGTGTATGCATCTAACAACAGAATGTCAAACTATGTTAGGCAAAAACTGACAGAATTATGAGGAAAAATAGACAAATTCCCTATCAAATTGGGAAACTTCAACACTCTTCTATCAGTAATGGACAGATCCAGCAGACAGAAAATCAGAAGAGACATAGTTGAACTCCACAACGCCATCAATCAACTGGATATAATTGACATCTCCTACTTCATCCAGTAATAGCAAAATATACATTGTTCTCAAGCTCACATGGCACATTCATCAATATAAACCACATTCTAGACCACAAAACATACTTTAACAAATTTAAAAGAATAATAATCATGAAATGTCTGCTGTCAGACAAAAATGGAATTAAACTAGAATGTCAAAAAGCAGAAAGACAAATGAAAAAAAAATCCCCAAATACGTGCAGTTTAAAAGACACACTTTTAAATAAGACATGGGTCAAAGAAAAACATTTTCAGAGAAATTAAAAATACTTTGAAATAAATGAAAGTGAAAATACATCTTATCAAAATTTGTGGGGTGCTGCAAAAGCGGTGCTTAGAGGGAAATAAATGCACAGAACACGTATATTAGAAAAAGAAGAAAGACCTGAAAGAAATGACCTAAGAGTCCACCTTAGGAAACTAGAAAAAAAGGGCAAATAAAAATCAAATTAAGTAGAAGAAAAGAAATAAATTAGGACAGAAAAAATGAAATTGAAACAGAGAATCAATAGAAAAAAATTGATGACACCCAAGATTGTTCTTTGAAGAATAAATAAAATCAATAATTATTTAGTCAGGCTATCAAAGGAAAAACAAGAGAGAAAACAAATTATTAACATCAGAACTGAAAGATGAGACATCAATACAGATAATAAAGGAATATTACAAGCAACGGTATGTCCACAGATTTGATAACCAGGATGAAATAGACCAATTCCTTGAAAGACAACCTATATATCAAAACTCACACAAGAAAACACAGGCAATCTGAACAGGCCTATGTCTATTAAAGAAACTTAATCACTAATTAATAATAACTTTTCAAAACAGAAAGCAACAGGCCCAGATGGATTCATTGGTGAATTCTACCAAAATTTACAGATAAAATTATACCAATTTTCCACAGTTTCTCTCAGAAGATATTGATAGAAGGAATACTTCCTAACTCATTCTATTAGGCCACCATTACCCTAATACCAAAACCAGCCAAAGACATTACAGAAAATAAAAACTATAAACCAGTATCTCTCATCAGCATAGGTGCAAAAATCCTCAACAAAATATTAGCAATCAAATTCAACAATGTGTAAAAAGAATGATATGCCATGACCAAGTGAGATTTATTCTAAATATGCAAACTAGTTCAACATTTGAAAATCAGTTAATGCAATGCATCACATTAACATGCCAGAAAAATCACATGATCATATCAATAGACACAGAAAAAGCATTTGACAAAATGCAACACCCATTCAAAGCAGAAGTTCTCAGCAAACTAGGAATAGAGTTTACTGTATTCCTCAGCTTGATTGAGAATATCTATGAAAAACATACAGCTAGCATTATACTTAATGGTAAGAAACTCAAAGCTTTCCCATTAAAATCAGGAGCAAAACAAGGATGTTTGTTGCCTCTCACCACTATTCAACATCATACTGGAAGTTGTAGCTAATTCAATGAGATAAGATAACGACATAAAAAGTATACAGACTGTAAAGAAAGAAATGAAACTGTTTGCTGACAGCATGACCATCACTGAATCAATAAGCGATTATAGCAATATTTCAGGATACAGAAATAAGTGCCATAAGAGATTGAAGGATTACTTGAGGCCAACAGTTCAAGACCAGCCTGGGCAATATAGTGAGACCCCATGGCTACAAAATAAAAAATAAAAAATTAGCCAGTCGTAGTGGTGCACATTTGCAGTCCTAGCTCCTCTGATGGTGAAAGTGGGAGAAATGCTTGAGCCTAGGACTTTGAGCCTGCAGTGAGCCTCAAACGAGGCTCTGACTCTTAAAAAAAAAAGAAAGTGGCACACAACAAGCATGTCTTACAGTAAGTAAATGGGTAAATGAAATGCTCTACATTCAGACAATGCACAATTACTAAGGGCAAGAAAAGATTAAGTTATCCCTTGGAGAGGGGTTCCAATTCTTGCATTTTTCTGTAGTTTGTTTAGTCCTGGATATTTCTTTATACTCAGACTTGGGTCTTAGTCACCAATTCAAGAGCAACAAAAAACATCCCACTCATCATGTTACCACACTTATAATATGGACTAAACTGCTTTATGCTATAGCTCTATACACTTCATGTGTCTGTGCTTATGTTTGCTTTCAATCCCATATTGTTAATGAGAAAATGATTTCGAACTTTTAAAGATTATCCCGAGATGTAGTTTCTTTAGCACTTTGACTTTTTTTCTCTATCAGTCCATAATTCTTTCACATCTGACGCGAGTGGCTGTTAACTACAATGATATTTTTCATGACACTCCTTTTGCTTTCATTCTTCTCGTTACCTAGATGCAATGCCTTCTATACTCTCTCTATTCTTGTTTACTCTTTATTAACAGTAGACAGTAAACTTTGAATTGTTCTTGTTTACTGTCTATTAACAGTATCTGCTCATTAAAAAAAAAAGGATAATCCTTCTTCCTCATTGTCGTGGCTTACCATTCCAGGATAATCCTTGTAAACTTAAGGTGCTACAACACCCTGACTACAATTTGAATTGAATACACGTCCACGTCCACATAAAATTAGCCAGACTAATTTTATTTAAACAGAACTTTCGCAAGAGCTTTCATTTACTTTAGAGCACTGTCATTTTATAATATTTACCTCAAAGACAAACTCTGTGACAACACTTTCAAGGCCTCAATGGTGCTGTCCTACCCTATTTAACCAAACTTTTTTTTCTTTTTCAGCACTAGAGAATGCTGTGCTTTGCTTCAGGCACACCCGTGTCTTCCTATCTTTAGCATATTGGGAACACACATCTATTTCTGTCTGTGTGTTTTAGCAAATACTTCCCCTCTCCAAATCAGAAAGCCGCCTAACTTCATTCACCTGCCCAAATATTGAGTTTTAAGTGGTACCATCTGCCATGAAATATTTCTGGAATGCTTCAGCTCATACAGATCATTTCACAATTTGTATGTAGGGTAAATAGAGTTCATTTTTGTTGCTTTTCATTCAGTACGTATACTGCTATGTTCGTTCCTCTTTGGATTCAGGATACAATCACATTAGTATTTATCAAGGTTGATGATCATAACTTAAATTTGTCTGTATGCCCTAAAAAGGCCACTATAGTGTTTGACAAGTAGAAAATAATTTTCAAAAGTATGGTTTATGGGTAAATAAATAATATATTGCAGCAGAATGAGCACTAGGCCAGGCATCAGAATTGTAATGTGGCCTTAGGAAATCTTGCTTAACATCCTGATCCTCAGTTATCTGGTCTGTGAAAAGAAAAGTGATGCCTTTTCTGCCTATTTTGAACGATTGTTCGGAGTTGCAAATAGGATGGGAAGAGCTTCTTAAGTTGAAAATAATACTTTAGCTATTATTTTAGGTGAATTTATAAGGTCAATTTATTCTTTTTTTTAAGTTCAATATAAAGAAAACCACCACAGTTGGATAGAAAGGGATTTTGGGTTGTCCACACTCAGGAAGTTGCTTACAACTTTAGTGGGAAAAAATTCCTAATTTGTTTGGGGAAATCCATTTTTTCCATCTCATGAGGGGGCTGAAGCACATAGAAATATTGTGTGTCTGAAACCAATGGCAGAACTAGAAATACAATACAAATCTTCTAATTCTTGGGGATCTGAATATCTATGAAGTATTTTATATCCTTGTAAAATGAAGACAGCAACTAAAATTTTGGAATAAAACCTTAGTTTTTTAATGTGGGTTTTTGTACTTTATTAAATCTAAAAAGCATATGTTTTCCGAATTTGAAAATACATAATGTCCTTTATGGTTTTACCTGCCATGATTTAAAGACAAAAAGGGAATTGGTGAATAGTAAGAGAGGAATGTAGGCTATTCTGTCATGATCTTTCCTTATTGATGCTCCTTTGTCTGGTATTGTTCAAAGATGTTCCAAAGTTTACATTTCAGGAGATCAACTCCTAATGTACCTTCTGGGTTTATGACTTTATGAAAATTGAAACATTTGAAGGGAATTAGATATACTTTCTTCTTCTATGAATAATACTTCAATATGGAGTATTCCATTTTAAGTACTTCATACTTAAAATATGGAGAGTAATGCACCCCCAGAACTTCAACTACATAACTTAAATCGAGTTGAATGTTTATTTTCTCAATGTTTTGCCCTGTTGCATTGAGGTTTGTGATGCAATTCTCTACAGAGAAATAAACATAATGCCAGCAAATCTGTATGGCATCAAATCAAACTGGAAAAGAATTTGTCTTGTTTTATAACCTCTCTGTGATGGCAAAGGAACACTGTGATCAGGGTGAAGAAATGCTGACTCAGTGTTTTTCCATCCTGGAATTTTAACAGCCATGCCATTGACCTTCCTAACAGGGAAAATTGTGTGGATATAGTGAGCTACATTAACTGATTTTCAAATAGAACTAGAGTTTTTAAAGCACTTTTTGTTTATATGTTTTGAAGTTATTGCCGTCAAATAGTAATAGGGCAAAGAGCTATGTCAGGCCACTAAGTCTGATCAAGCAATCTCAGCAGAGAGTGCTTATATATTTTAAATAGAATTAAGAAATAAACTATGTGAAAGACTAGATATCAGGGACAATGATAGAATAAGGGAATATACAGTACTGCCCCACAAAATTAATTGTACCAAAGGAAGCATGCCCTCAGTTCAGTGGTCCTAGCAACCAGTGCGGATTGAGGATCTGTAACCATAAGTGATTCCTCCATTTGTTCCTTTTTATCTTAGGAGTTGTCTGAGTGCATACTGTTTCAGTCCACTGCATGTCATCTGGTCCTAATATCCACATCTGAGTTACGTTTCTTGCTGCAACACAGTTTCATAACCAAATTTATTCTGTTTTACCTTCTTGCTGCACCACTGAGATTTCAATACAGGCTAAATCATGGCTTATCATAATAAGTTGAATGCCTATTATGTGCAAAAAAAACTCTGCTAATCACACAAAGAGGAGTTAAACAGCATTTCAGAAACATATATTTTCCTAAGGCATGAAAGAAGTACATAAATAATCACAAATTTTTTAAATATTATATGCAAAGTGATATAAGCAAAAGAAGAAGAAGTTAATAAAAACTGGAGAAGAAAATTATAATGATGGTCTTTAAATATTCAGAGGATTGTTGCATAGGAGAGAGAATAAACTAATATTGTTATTTCAACTGGCAGAACTAATACCCGTGGGCAGAAATATAACGAGAGGCAGATTTAAAATGTCAATGTAAGGAAAAGCTTCAGAGCAATTAAAGCTGTTCAAAAATCAAATGACATCATTTTCTAGGTAATAAATTTCTTCTCATTGTTTATATCAGACAGAAGTAGAAGGGACAGATGTCAGAGATGCTTTCAGTGAAATTTCTGAACTGGTAGAGGTTTGTGAAACAGAGATTGCTAACTTTTTTTTGTTTTTGTTTTTGTTTTTTCCCAAAGAGTCCAGTTGAAGTAGGTCACCAAAAATATTTTCAGAAGGGGGAAAACACTACCTTGGAAACAGAAATCTTTAAATCTCTCTCAGACTAAAAAGGCATAAGGACTTTATGTCCAAATAAGCATTATGAAAAATATCAGCCCTGCCCATGAAGTAAAATTTCCATAGAACCCCATTTAATTAGAATATTGGGATAAAACTATTTTGTTTCTTTGAGAATAATGGCAATGTACTCCCCGTTCTTGTCCCTTCACAGTATTCCAGAATATTTGTTCAAAGAATAGCTGTTTACTAAAATTAGCATATTGCTTTTCTGTCCCTTGCAAATTAGCATCCCTAAGTGGCTAAAAGATTTTCTAGGCTTCCAAGGGCCTCTATAGTATTCATCAGAGTAACTCAAGCTGAATACATTTTTTTGCTTACACAAATTTGTTGCTAAGCAGAAAATTTAGTACATCTAATTATGTAATGCTACTTATCCTTCTCCCTAGGAAACGCCCCAATTTTCACAATGTTTGAGAGCTCCAAACTCAGCCAGAGCATGCTTTGTGTTTCTTCCTTGATACTGGGCAACAGGGTAGTCTGTGAGATGAAAAAAAGATTCATTACCCCTGTCATTAGAACACTGAACCTAAATACAAGTCCTCTAAAAAGAACAAAAGCCTATCATGAAAGTTTAATGGTGCCAGCTTAAATAAGTCTTTATTTTAAAAGACATGAATTGTATTCTCCACCAATTTAGAATGCTGACAAAACTCACATTCAATAATTCAGAGTACTTAGAAGTGGTATCTCAGATAAGATTCTTAAATGACTACTATATTGACTAATGTAGGTCTTTCAGACTTTGCTACAAGCTTGATAGAATATGCGTTTTTGTCTGCTCTGTCCTCCTCCTTGGTGTTGGGTCTAGAAATGACACCTCCAGGTAGAGTTACTTTACCCCTGGGGAAGCTACAGGCTACCCCCTGTTTCTGCCTTTTTGCAGTGTACTAATGATGGAGTTACAGATATCCTCCATCTCTTTGTGATGATGTGCTCATTCTTTCTGCTCAACAGACTAAACTTTAATCAACCAATTGGATAAGAATGTTTTCTTGTATTTATTATTGATCATAACCTAACTAATGATCAAAGAGTCATATGTTAGCTTAAGAGTCATGTGATCATAACTTATAATCAATGAGAACTTTTTATCTCCAATGTTGCCTCATTGTAGAAGGATTTGATTGAGTTTTCTGGGAGACACCTTGAATCATTTGCTTTGTATTTCTCAGCTTCTTTTTTATTTTTTTTTTGAGACGGAGTCTTGCTATGTCGTCCCGGCTGGAGTGCAGCAGTGCCATCTCCGCTCACTGCAAGCTCTGCCTCCTGGGTTCACGCCATTCTCCTGCCTCAGCCTCCTGAGTAGCTGGGACTACAGGCGCCCGCCACCACGCCCAGCTAAATTTTTTTTTTTTTTTTTTTGTAGTAGAGACGGGGTTTCACTGTTTTAGCCAGGATGGTCTCGATCTCCTGACCTCATGATTCACCCGCCTCGGCCTCCCAATGTGCTGGGATTACAGGCGTGAGCCACCAAGCCTGGCCATTTCTCAGCTTCTTGAACCATGTGTTAAATATCTTCCTTTGTCATAGGTTATTCTAATGTTGTCATTTTTGCCTATAATTTTCTCAATGGCATACATTTTAAGAATATCATTAGCATTAGGGTCAAAACTAAATTTTGTATGTCTGCAAGCTCAAGTTTGTCCTACAAATTTTTATCCATGAGTATTGCCTTTATATATTCACAAACTTAAAGACATCAGGATGGTTAAATAAGTAATATATATTTGTATGTTTAGGGGAATGGGAGGATATTGAGGTTGTTTGCAAAATCATAGCAGCAATTACATTACCATCAGCTCCAACATCAGAGAACATTAGGTAAATGTGACATCCAAAAGCAGTAAATCCGGGATATTTTCAGGTGTATAGTTACACAAGCCAGACAGAAACTTCTGTATCATGAGAAACAGCCTGAGAAGTAATTATGCTATAGTGTGACTCCTTGCCATTAATAAAAAAGTCCATAGGAGTTTCTGAATTTGGAGTCTAAAGTTAGTATCACCAACAGATAAATGTCAGGCCTATGCCTTCTCTCACTTGGCACCTTCAAAGATCTTCTTAATAGTGGCTGGAATGGATGGATGTATGCACGTCAATGCCTTCATCTTCCAGGACTTTTTCCATTTGTGCTAGGATAAATGTATACATATAAACCAATCCCTCATGATAGAAGTCAGTCTATACTGGATTGACTGTTGGGGAAAAAAAGACTAATTTGCAGGCAAGATGTACAACCTGTGTGAAGGTAAATGCTAGGCAAAAGCCTTTTTTTCCTTCCTGAAGTTCTTCTGGTGCCTGAGCTTGAAATTGGCCAACAAATGATTGATCTTTGATTCGCCAAATTATTCTCCACCAAAGTGGGCCTTTGACTTGATCTCAAGGATTCTATTTTGAATGGAAAGTTGGTGATATTTAAAAAATCTCTTCCAAAGATCAAACCAATATCTTACCAATATTCTTTATACCAATAGTTTCAGTCATAAGAAATAGCTGTCATAAATTTCAGTCATAAGAAATAGCTGGAAGAATAAGTAGGCTGTTCCCCAATTCAAGGTCTTATTAAATAGAGGATCATTTTCTTTTCTTTGTAAACAAAAAACAATTTAGCATAAATCATACATAACAAGGAGGCATTATTCAATATTTAAAATAGAATAAATGATATAAAATTTAAAAATGTAAGAAATTAGCATTATTTTTCATTGTCCATTTTTGACTCCTCCAGTGTTTAATAGTCATGTAACTAAAGTTCTTTAGGCTTTCCTTTCTTTTTCCACATTTGGATAAATGATACTGATCCAGCTTCTAATTTTCTATCTCTGAATTTTCCTATACACAGATCCAATGTCTTAGTAATAAGAAATTAAACGTTAAGTGGAAACTCAATTGAAGACCATTTTGTCTTGTTCCATTATAGCAAAACCACAAAATACCACACTTAGTGAGATTTGACTTTCCATATAATTTTCTAACCAATGATATAATTTCTTTATAATTTCTTTCTTCTCTGAGCCAGTTTCTTTATTAGCAAAATGTCTATTTGAAAATAATATGTTTGTTCCTTTAAAAATGTGGATAAAAAACACCTGCATGTCAATTATCAGTGGATTTAGTACACAATGTATGGCAAATGGCTGATGAATCTGAAGTTTTTGTCTTTGTCTGACTCAGCTACTATTTGTCCAATGAAAAGACTAGCAGATGTGGGGAAGTGTGGTAGGTGTTGAAGGACACACAGATAGAAAAAGGAAAAAATATCAAAATCCAGGACAATAGGTGACAATCACTTAAATTCCTCATGATGGTGATTTACTATATCTGGAAACACAGGCTCTTCAATTTTTCCTTTCTTTGTGAAAATCATGAAGAGGGAACGGGACATAATAAGCCAGAAGTATGTGGGAAAAAAATGAAATGAAACCGGAAAGTAATGAAACAAATTCATTTCATTTTCTGTATGAAACAGCAAAAAAATATATCTTCTCATTCTTGTCCAAATGCCATCTCTCATTATTTCCTTTTGGAAGTTTTTTAAGGAAATCTGGAGTTCTTTGTCCTAAACTTCTTTGTATATATCAGGACTACAGTTAAAATTTTCAATAATTATTGAGAATTATCAATGTCAACAAGATTTGAAGACTGGAAATTATAGGCAGCAAATAATGAACTGATATGAAAAAAGATTCGAAAAGTATAACATTTTGTACAAATGTAAATTATTGTATTTACATTTGTATTGTATTGTATCAGTCTATTACTGATAATAATAACTACCTCATAATTTAGTTGAATGATATAATTTATTTTTATTATCTTAATGGTTTTTTTGTTTGTTTGTTTGCTGAGACAGAGTCTCGCTGTTGCCCAGGCGGGAGTACAGTGGCACAATCTCGGCTCACTGCAACATCCACCTCCTTGGTTCAAGCGATTCTTCTGCCACAGCCTCCCGAGTAGCTGGGACTGCAGGCGTGAGCCGCAACGCTTGGCTAATTTTTGTATTTTTAGTAGAGAAGGGGTTTCACCATGTTGGCCAGCCTGGTCTTGAAATCCTGACCTCAAGGGATCCCCTGCCTCAGCCTCCCAAATTGCTGGGATTACAGGTGTGAGCCACTGTGCCTGGCCTCTATCTTCATGTTTTTAAAGCTTTACATTTAAAGGAATTTCTACAGTGTTCAATCTTTCTTAAATCCCACTAAATGTTAAAGTTGTGTTATTTTGAATGTAACTGTATTCCTTTAATTGGTTTTATACTGTCTTGAAACATGCATAATATTTTTCTGGCATTTAATAAACATTTTTAACAGATATTTGGCTTACCTATTCTCATAGAAAATTATGGTTTTGAAATATTACAAATATTTGAATACTTGAGATCAGATTACATGTGAATAAAAATAATAATAGTAAAAAGCACCAGGGAGCAATGAGACAGGCAACAGAGACATAATTTATATTTTGGCCTTGGATTTTTTTTGTGTGCTTAGAGTTGAACAATCTTGTAACTGATATTCTAAGAACTAAAGTACTTCCAACAAAATGAGTGAGTGAGAGAAGATCTGTCTCAAGAGCTGTTAGAAAGCAGCATAACTTCTGAGGTAATATTATTTACCATTTTATGATGAATGCTTAAGTCTATTGCATTTGTCACCTTAATCTTTTTTTGATATTCAAGCAAAATATAAAACAATTTATTCCAAAGCCATACCCAAAACATACAATGAAAAGTATCCCTTTTAAAGACTTAAAAAAAGAGCAATCTTTACATTTTACAATTTGAAGACCTTTTGTTCCCACAAAGTCTCATAAAAGTTAATTCCATAATTAAAGTGTCAAACGTACTTTCCTGTTTATATAAAATATATTCTCTCTTTAAATGCAAAATATTCAAATATAGCAGTTTTATTATGAAATTGTTTTCAATTTCTGAAATTCTCACTGGTCTATAGCATCCCATTTCCACATACTTCTTAAAATGAAGTAAGAAGACAAATGGTGAAACCTTTTTTTCAGATCATTTTTTTCAGATGTCAATACCTTGCTGACGCAAAGTGCAACATGCCTTTGTCATTCCTTTCATCTGAAATATTTTCCCAGTAGTTACTCAGTATTTTGCACAAAGAACAGTTGCAATACCTGTCATTTAAAAATTCATAACATGTTGTAATTCTTTTTGTATGATTTTAAGATCTTAATTAAAACTATTGCTACCGGCCGGGCGCGGTGGCTCACGCCTGTAATCCCAGCAATTTGGGAGGCCGAGGCGGGCAGGTCATGAGGTCGGGAGATCGAGACCATCCTGGCTAACACGGTGAAACCCCGTCTCCACTAAAAATACAAAAAATTAGCTGGGCGTGGTGCCAGGCGCCTGTAGTCCCAGCTACTCGGGAGGCTGAGGCAGGAGAATGGCGTGAACCTGGGAGGCGGGGCTTGCAGTGAGCAGAGATCGCGCCACTGCACTCCAGCCTGGGCGACAGAGCAAGACTCCATCTCAAAAAAAAAAAAAAAAAAAAAAAAAAAAAGCTATTGCTACAGTGATTCACTCTTTACAGATATTTTAATAAATATTCCTCAATTCTAGAAGGCTGTTCAAATCCTTTAAAGTGGGGGTCAGCAAACATCTTCTGCAAAGATCCAAGTATTTTGTGTGTCATTTTTCTGATGCATTTTTTTACAACTCTAAAATGTTTTAAAAAATTATTTAGCTATGCTGTAATTTGCTATCCCCTACTTAAAAAACAGAAGTAACTGGCGGTGGCTCACGCCTGTAATCCCAGCACTTTGGGAGGCCAAGACGGGCGGATCACGAGGTCAGCATATCGAGACCATCCTGGCTAACACGGTGAAACCCCGTCTCTACTAAAAAATAGAAAAAATTAGCCGGGTGTGGTGGCGGGTGCCTGTAGTCCCAGCTACTCGGGAGGCTGAGGCAGGAGAATGGCCTGAACCCAGGAGGCGGAGCTTGCAGTGAGCCGAGATGGCGCCACTGCACTCCAGCCTGGGCGACAGAGCAAGACTCCATCTCAAAAAACAAAAAAATATAGAAGTAACTGGTCTCTAAATTAGACTACTTAAGTGCTAATAAAATGTAAACTTCACATTATGCAGTAAAATAAACCCATGGTTTCTGACTACTAAATTGGAAGTTCATAAGCAGTAGGAAATGAATCCCATTCAAAGAGTGGGGCTACATTCCAGATATTCTTTTTAATCAGTTAAACTTTCTTATGGCTTCTTTTTCATTTTGATTGAATAAGTCACACGTCTTTACTTGTTTTTTCTTGGTCTCACTTTTTTGTAGGGAAAAATTCTCTTCATGAGGCTAATTTGAAGTTTTTGAAATCACCTTACTCTAAAGCATTGGCTATTTGCTGTATCTGATCTTAATATTATATGTGTCAGGGACTGGGAATTAAATAAATAAGTTAGATATTTATAATTTTTTAAATTTGTAGTTTAGTAACTGAATTGCTGGCTAAATTAGAACAAGTAAACAGAGATGAAGATAATGTCAATAAGGACCATTACAAAGAAAACAGATCATCTTCTAGCAGGAAAAACTTTGAATATATAGTTTAGGGACCTGGATATTATCTATTTCTTCTTTTTATAATTACCCTTTCTGAGTCTCAGTTTTTCATCTACAAAATGTGGCTGAGACTTCTATAACTTCAAATGTTTGTAAAAAGAGATGGGACATAAACTATAATACAACAGCCACAATAGCAAAATAATCTTTTCCATAGGTAGTTTACTGGTTTGTTGTATGAATCAAATTCAACAATATAGACCACTGTAAACTACACAGCACTAAACAAATACTATTTTAAACAAAAAGATAAATGGGAAATTCTGCAAATGTTCTTCCCAGATTTGGAGGTGAAAAGAAAACGTCAGACTTTGAGGTTTGGAGTGTGAGCTCTGGTGAAGAGAATTGCGATTGAAAAGCTTGTTAAGGTGCTATGAAGAGGGTATGGTGAGAGGATGGAGGACCGGTTAGCACTGTATGGGGTTGTATATAATTGAATATCACTTTTCAGAGTTAGCCTTCAATTTATAATGTTACAGGCTTCATTATGTCTGCCTGAAGCCTCGCACTCTGTGTCTATCTGGACATATAGTTTCCATTGAAGACCCACTTACTTAAATGCCTTAAGCAGGAAGCGGGAACACATAACTCCAGCAGAGTTCTTATCCCACAAAGTTCGTAAGGATAAGAGGCATGGGTAGTGCTGATACAATGGTGAAGGCACTGATTCTGACAGATTTGATCCTCAAAAACTGATGGGGTACAGCCTCCATCTGGAATACTGTTTGGAAGAGTTCAAGTGATGATGTGTTTGAGGAACCTTAAGGTGTGTCCTATTCTCATGTAGGAGCTGATTGCAGCAACCACACAAACTCAACACTCTGATAAGTTGACCTAGAAGACATCCACTCTCTGCCCATTACCTGCCTATTGCTGACTTCTGGAAAGGGCATGTTAAAAAGAAAAATATATACACAACCTCAAAAGTGAGGTGTTTAGGGTACAGCATAACCAGGAGGTTATTTTTCTTGAATCACCATATCCTGAACCACTTGTTTGATTTACTAATCAATGAACATTCTTAGGATCAGTGTAGTCTCATGAACTGGAGAATTTTATGTTCTTCCTGCTAGGAAGGAACCAGAAGGCACTTATTTCAACTCAATTAGCAAAGGGTCTAAAGACAAATGGGTTCTGAATTCATTTGGGATTGGAAACTCAGGGATAACTTTTGATATTTATACTTAGTTTCCCAAACTCAAATCATACCAAGGTAATCATGTATCTTAAAAACTGCAAACTCCTTTCATAAACATGACTTAATCTTATTTGTCTTATCTTTGCAAGGTGGATATGTTATAACCCAAATGATGAGAAAGGAACTGAGTTACCCAGTGGTTAAATGCCTTAGCCAAGGCCACAAAGCTAACAAAAGGATCAGTATCAGAATCTTGGATTCTTGACTTCTAAGGTACTGTGGTTTCCACCACAGTGTCAGTGATGGTTTGGATATGAGACGATAAAGTAATGAATATGGATAAAATTTTAAAACCTTGGAGCCAGATTTTTCTTTTTTGAATTCATTTTCTGCCAGGAGAGCACTGAAGCCAGGAAACTGCTCTCTCAGTGGGAATTAGAGGAAGAAACCACTTGAATCACATCTCAAACATTCAGCTCAATCAAAGCAACCTTCAAGAGCTGAAATGTAACTATAGCTTTGAAAGTCAATGCAAGTAAGCCAATAAATCATATTTATTAAATGCCATGTTAAAATGACATTAAGATCTAGTCTTTTGCTATATGACCCCAAAGTTGCTAAATTTTATGATTGTAAAGATGGTAACAAACAGCAAAATACCCAGTGCTTATAGGAAAGACATGAAAAGGGAATGATTATTCTTTTCCTAAAAAAAAAATTGTGCTCTATATAGTTAAATTGTATTAGAAAAATATTACAAAGAAAATTATTGAATAATCATTGAGATTTTTCAGGGTTACAGAGGATACTTAATACTATTTTAAGAAATATTTAATGCCACAAAATCATGGCTTAACAGACAATTAGACACCTTTAGAGAGGGTGTTAGTAAGATTTGACCTGTATATTTTAAAATGTGTATTTCAAATAGTTAGGTTTATTTTTACTTTTTCCTTTCTTATGTTTTCCATGTGTAGATATTCTTTGAAGATTTATTGGTCATGGTTCAGTAACTCTATATACATCAACTTATCACACTGAAAGTTTATATTTGATAATCATTTATATAAAATAATGAATCACTTATTTAGTCTAGAAAATAATTATACTTAAATGAATTTTTGACATAAATGATCGCATCTAGAAGTTGATCCAAATCTAATGCAGGCTCTACTTCTGATGTTAATGTCTTGTAAATAGTAAAATCTCAATAAAAATTACTTGAATGATTGAATAAATGGATGGAGATTAAATCTGGACCTTAGTTTCCTTTGTTTTTGATGAAGACATTTGGACATAGTTCCTATTGTAGTGGCTGGAACGGAGTAGCTGCTTAAAAAGAGTAGGTTTTACATGAACATAAACTTCCTCTCTCACATCTGTTTTTTCTTTTTGATTCATTTTTAGATGAAAATCTTTTAAAATACTGTCTATACTTTTCTATTTTCTTAAATCAAAAGTGTCTAAAGTGATTTTGGTATAGAAGACTAAGCACACGTAGTAATAACTAACATTTATTGAGGCTAGTATCTTCGAAGAGTGATAGGCATTATGGTATTATTATCTTTTTAAATATGGGGAAGCCAAAACCCAGACAGAAAAAAGAAAGCAACATCCACAAAGTTGTATAGTCATTAGGTAGAGAAGCCAGGGTTCGAATCTAGGCATTTGGATCCCAAAATTTCTGTGCTTAGCCCCAGCACTATACTTCTATGCTTAATGTTAAGCCTCATGTTGGGACTGATTACAGAAATGCTTAGAAATGACTCAAACTTGTTGGCCCTACACTAAATATTTTGAATAGGCTAATACTATTGTCTTTTTAAAGGTTCAGGATGTGTTACTTGATTTTTTTTGGTCTTATACCAATTGACTGGTTCCTTAAGACATCTTTTCCTTCATAGTACAGGGGGAGATAATTTATTTCATTGTACCTCTGTAGGCTGATAAATGATATATCATGTATTTTTAAGAATTCTGTGTAAAAGAAAAGTAAATATGCCTGAACTGTTAAAAGATTTTTTTTTTTTTAGTTAGGACCTGGGTTCCTGAAGCAAATTTATTACCAATCCAACAAACATTTATTGAGCCTTGGGCATTAGGTGGCACATGAGAATGGGGAGGGCTTATCCCTTACTCCATAGACCTTACAATCATGTCACACAAATCACAATACTAAAAAGAGATAAAAAGAAACAAGACGAGTTGTATATTTAGATTAGAGAATACTCATTTTGAGTGGGAAGGAGACTATAAAAGATATTGTGGTCAAGTACCTTTTCAAAAAATAGACGTGCAAGCTCAACAACAAAGGGAACCACCTGGCTACCTTCAATAACCAGCCTATGTATTAATTCTTAAAAATAAGAGACATGTAGAGATCATTCTGGAAAAAAAAAATTACAGCTGTCATGAAGGCACAAGTGTAACACTTTAGCTTGGCCAAGCTCAGGCCTATGAGGAAGTGGCTGGATCATGGCACAGCATTGAACAAGCTAGGTTTGTCACAGGTAAAAAAGCCAAAACAGGTTATTAAAATTATTTATAAAATTAATAGGGAGGGATGGTATGGACTTACAGCAGAATTATAGCCAGGCACATTTTAATGAATATGAATGTGAACACAATGCTACCGTGACAGTGCATTTCTCTTTTTATTATACCCCAAAATTGCTGTGAAAAACAGTTGTAAAGAGGATAAAGGCAATGATCTCATAATGTATGATGCCAAAATGCATTATTAATAGATAATAAAAACTGTCATTGAGTGTGTATGAGAAGCCAAACATTATGCTGAATGCTTGACATACATTATTTCACTTAATTCTCCCAAATAACCCTTTGATATCATCCTTATTCGAGAGATGATACCTGCTTTCAGAGATGCCAAATAGTTTAACCAAAGTCATCAATTTAGTAGGTGTCACAGACAAGGCTTCTAACTCAGAGTGAGATGTTACAAAGGTCAAAATCACAAGGCAATGGGAATTCCATGCAATTTAAATGAGTGAGAAGACAATCTTTCCTAAAATATTTGTTACATATAATCAGAATATTCTGCATTCAGTTAAAAACACAGTGTCTGTCATGATTCCAAGAATTAAGTAGCAAATTGTATGCTAAAGGCACAAAAAACAAAGATGTAATTCAATAGATTTGATAGTAAATTTTATAAGAAAGTTCAAGTGTTTTAATCAATTCCTCTAAAAGTGCAAAGATTTTTTAATCAGCCAAGTAAAGAATGCCTTTACTGAGTGAGATTATTGTTATAAGAATAGTATTTAATGCCATTACTGAATTCTTTTTATACACTCTGTGCTAGCTTGTATTTAAATTACTGACCATCATCCTTAAATTAATGACCTTTCTGTTCAGAATAGGATTTCCTCGAGAGACCGTATGAAGAAGTAACACTTGTGTATGACAGCCTAAAATTCAAAGACTAACTAAAGCAACTACATTTCTAATAGTCATAGACAGTACTATTTTTAATGATTACCTTATAGTAAAAGTGAAAGAATGTTCTATGTTTTTTATAGTTATTTTTACAATTTAATATAATTTGAACCATTCTGCTAAAAGTTAAGTCAGCTTCCCAAGACTCGGGTTGTTTCTGGCTGTTGATTATCTAGATGGAAATAACATTGAATATTTAGGTATCCTTTACCATGTTCCCCAATGATGCTTCCAAATACCTAATGTGACTATTTAATGTGCCCAATCTCATAACAACTAGCTTGTTGGCTTTTTCAATATATTGTGCGTCATTTATTGTTATAACATCTAGTTTGATGATATGCTACCTATGCCTGTAATTGAAGGGGCATATAAATGCATTATCATCAAACATTCCTTATGAAACATACACCTGCACATACACACCCTTCTTAACCATCAGTCATACAGCTTGGAAGTCAGAAATTAGCAATTGACTTCCTTGGGTAAAGAAGTGCTGAGGAATTAGAGGCTGGATGAGATTCCACATAAAGATGTTTTCAGTAAGTCTTGAGAACAAAAACTTCTATAATGTGTGGGAGGAACATGAACTATGGTTGGAAATAATAATAATGTCAGCCATACCTGCATCAGGGTTTTACTAAGATCACAAAAGACAGTATTTCTTTAAAAATATTTGAGTGGCAAATATAAGAAGTTATCATTATTTACATTTCTGCTATGAAATTAGTTTAGCAAATAACTTTTCTGTATGACTGCTAAGACCTCATTATTGATGGATTCAATCTTTCCTGTCCAGTTTTTACAGTTACTGGTCACATTTTAAGAGGAAAACTGGATGAGTTTGGAAGAATTGGGGATGGTTAGTATGTAGAAGCAAAGACTAAGAGAAGAAATAATAGTAAATTCCAAATAATATGAGTATCATGAAGGAGGAGCTTGTTGTATGCTACTGGAT
Source organism: Homo sapiens (assembly GCF_000001405.40). Classification (NCBI taxonomy): domain Eukaryota; kingdom Metazoa; phylum Chordata; class Mammalia; order Primates; family Hominidae; genus Homo; species Homo sapiens. Next base: position 122,132,565 of record NC_000006.12, on the reverse strand, counting down.
AATATAATATTAGTATCATGAGGTTAACAATAAAAGGAAAAGAAGATTTGGGTTCAATATAAGGAGTCATGTCCTATTAATCAGAGTTGACCAAAAGTGGGATATAATGCTTTGTTAAAGAGTAAGTCTTACCGAAACAAGTGTTCAAGAAGAGGCTGACTAATAATTTCTCAAAGATGCTCTAGAAGGAATTTTTTACCTACATAAATCTGGTTGTATTACGTGACTGTTAACCCTACTGTTGTCCTAGAAGGGGCAGTATAAAAGGGCATGGTGCAAGGAAGATTTAAAAGTGTGGATAAACTCTTGTCTGCCAGCCACAGGGAGAGAACACACCCATTTTCCAGGGAAGTTATTTCTGATAGGGAGCTACTTGATAATCAAATTTATATAAATAACAGGAATAGTTAAAGCCTGACTTTTAAGTCATTCTATTCATTTATTTACTAATTCACCAGTTTATCAATATAATTGTATTTTTTGAGTGCCCCTTATGAGAAAACTCTGTGATGAGGACAAGCCTGGAAGGATTCCAAATGTAGTTTGAATTCTCGTGGTATCTAGACAACAGAAAGAGGAACAGTATTGTATTGGGTGGGAGATGGATGAGAGGAATTGATTTAAGAATGAGTTAATAACAGAGAAATGTCACCAAAAAACATTAGCAAATATATTTCCCTTCCCTTCCCTTTCCTTCCCTTCCCTTCTCACTTCCTTCTTTCGTTCTTTCATTCCTTCCTTTTAGTCTAGGATACGTCCATTTGGGACAATATAGTTTTTATCAGTTTCTTCTTATGTACCAGCTGGCATGGACTCTCCATTTTGCATGAGGCTCATCTGAGCATTTGCCAACCACTCTAAGAGTAGCCTGGCAGTTCAACTATAATAGTACCTTTTTTTCCCAACTTATCAAAGACATTTGTACTAATATATTCTCAGAATAGGAATTGTTAAAATTCTGTGTTCTCTTACTCAAAAAAAAACCACCACAGAAGTAGATTTACACAGAGTAGATACTAAATATTTTTGTATATATTAATAAATGAATAAAATATATCAAAGATTTATCATATATTTTATATAATATTTTGTACCAGCATCTTATTTAAAGTCATAACCAATCCTGTGAATTACTTTTATATTACTTTTATACAATATTTGTATAATTCAATTTTGCTATTTGAAATATAATTTTGAACAAAAATAATATTTTTGCTCAATATACTTACATAGGTATGATTTAAATATGCACACAATTGTGTGTTGGGAATAATTCAGCTCAAGGCTTAAATATGGCATTGACGAACTTTGTGGCAGACCAGGAAGTATTGAGTATCTTTTACAATTGAGCAAAGTGGGGCTTAGAAAGAATTTTACCTTACATATAACAGCTTGTAACTTTGGGGAATCCAACTCTTCTAATCTCAGAATCACTTATTTTTTCTATAACAAACTGTCTTAATATCTATCTTTTTGTTGACATCTTTCCTAATTGAGATATCTGAAGAAGGTGGGACATAAATGGTAGATGTACGTCTTTCATTTGCCAGGAAAGTACATAGAGTATACTTCACTGGCTTTCATATATTAAATAGAGCTAGGAGTCTTCAATTTTCAATCAATATTTAGTAGTGCAGACATTCTGTAATCTTGACAGAAGCAAAATAATTTAAAAAGTTTTAAAGAAACTTAAAAGTTTTATTGAATGCTAATAAAATACTCTTTTGAAATACATGTTGCTTAGATCTTCTTGGTTCATTTTTCTTATTTGGCAAAAGAAGACAATTGGATTATATGATCTTCAAGATCCTGCCAAGAGCAATATTATTTTCAGCATTATGAAAAAACACTTGCAACTTTTCCAGCTTTTAGTAGCTTCTTTCCTTTTTTGTTTTTGTCACTCTAGCTCCAGACAATTTTTACAGTATAAAATATTAATATAACCATGGTTGATGGCTTCCAATATGCTTATAAGTTTATACATCTTCCTGTTTAATGGCATCGGTTTCGTTCAACAGTGTTGGAAATTTGGGAGGAGGAGGTTATAAAACCAAGTCTCATTAGTTATTCTAGAGTCTGCTTCATATTAGTCTGTGATTTTTTAGGTGTTCATGCTTATCTCTTTCTGAAGTGGATGGAAATTATATTCTCTTACTTGTACCTACAAAACATATCACCTCCCAGCAAAAGACATGTTATTGATATCTTGCTGACAGGAAGAATGGTTTGTGTTGACGATAACCACTTCCTGTACCCTGATCCGACCATTTATCCTTTGGGTGCCACCTCTCATGGCTTCTATAGGCTTGCTGGGCACATTTAAAAATGGCCATTCTGTCAACCTTTTTATGTGGTGAGGACATCCAGACTGCTACACTTACCAAATACAGAAAATGGCACTGGCAATAGCACAAAAGTCACCTCTGTTCTGACTCAGCTGTGGCCAATGACACAAGCTAAAAACACGTGAGAAAACTGCTGCTTGTCTTGGGAAGATACACACATTCTAAAGAAAGAAAGCTATTTTGGAAATTCTGGATGTGACAATCTTTCTTGTTCACACTCAGTAAACACATTAGTTGAATTCCTCTGATTGTCAATTAGCAATGGTTTTGCCAAGAATACTGGTATTGATGCTGTTTTTAGCACTGAAAAATCCTGTGGGAGAAATGAGGAATTTAACACATTGTAGGTGTTAAGATTCCTGGGTGTCTGACAGTATCCCTGGAACCATTATCATTAATTAACTTTTCAATCAGAAAGGCAAACTACTTTGCTGTTAGGCTTCCAGATGAGGTTTTTTGAAAAAACAGTAAGATAATAAAGGCTTGGATTGCTCCTACTTCCTGAGGCAAGTCACATCTCATATTATTCAGAACTTGGACTGAAGAGCTCATAGGGCAAGTGAGGCCAAGGTCAGGAGTCTTCAGACATCTTGGGCCAAGTGCCATTCTAGAAGAAATGATTCTCTTCCTCAGTCACCATCTATCTATGCCCCCAGGTTTGACTCGCTCTTTTCCCAAGGAGTGCTGTTCATTCCTGACACAAGGGAGACCAGAAAAGAGATCATGAATGACAGTGAAAACCTTTATGACACTGACATAAAGCAGAGAGTTAGACTGAATATGAGTTGGTAGCTTTTCCTTTGTATCTGTGTAAGTTGAATCATACAAAATTGTCATTTTGGTGATTCAAAAGTGTAAAACAAAAGCAAGTTCATATGATTCAAGCTTACATTTTTTTCTCACTATAAGAAAGAGGATTTAAAGAATTGTATTAGGTTAGCGAATCTGATTTCTTTCATGCAAATACAGCTCCTCGAGGTAAATGATCAGAGCTATAATATTTTAAATATAGAACAATCTAAAATAAAACTTTAAAGAAACAAGATGACAATATTTAATAAATAAACCATTTATTACTTAAGCCTAGTAAATTATAGGAATGATGTGTGGTTATTATGAGCTCCTGGAGCCACAGTGCAAGTGTTCATATTGTAGCTCTGATATTTTTTCTTCACCTTAAATAGGTTACTTACTCAGTGACTCCATTTTCTCACTATTAAATTGGGAATAATAATTGTGCCCATTACCTAAGGTTGTTGTGAGGATTAAATGAGTTAGCCAAATCAAATGTTTAGGATGGTGCTGAATAAATATTAGCCACTATAAATATTGTTACTTATAATTACCAATCTTTGAACGATCTAATGGAAGAAAACTAATTAGATGTGCAGACACCTGTCTTTTGAAATAGATTTTCAATCCTGAGCAACTGATCTTAGAGCCCAGTACTATATTTTTAAGTGTCTGTGTTAGGCAAAGCTCATGTGAATGTTAGGTGATAACATTGTCAATGATGACTGAAGCATTTCACATGATGAACTTTAGGAGAAGAGCCAGGAACTCCAGTGAGCTCTAAAGATAGATCAGCCTGCACAGAATTCATCTTGTGCTGGTTTATGGGTCAGGAGTGTAATAACACCACAGTAAGCCTCTTAAAGGATAAGTAGATTGGATGAGGACAACATTATTTACTTTCTTGGTCACGATGCTCTAGCTCCTATCAAATCTTCTGTGTCTGAAATTTTGTCACACTGATTCCTGTCACCAGGAGTTGATCAGGGTCAACTCTCTCTTGTACTCTGCAGTGAGGGACAGGAATTCTGCAAGGCTCAAGAAGTGTGTATCAACCAAGTTTTCACTTGTGCAGGGTGAGAGATAAGTTCTCAATATCGCACTAAGGGATGAAATACATGAGATGGTGTTCATGGTCAGATGGCTACCAAAAATACAAGAAGGCAGAATCCCAAACCAAGGAGAATTTTCAGGGCACTGGGCCACTACCATTCCCTTGAATGATGGATTCCCTGAAAACTGTGGAGGTCATGGACAGATGGCTACAATCTCTAGAAAAATGGACCCCTTTCGTACATCATTTAGCAGTGGACCTGAAGCAAAAAGTCTCTAGTAATTGCTCTACACTGATGATGTGAGGAAAAATAGGTCATTGTGCAAAAATTCTTAACCTCCCTGATTCTTACTCTGTCAAATGTGTTTGTTCTGACAATTCTGTGACCTTGTTTAACTATCCAACTACTCCTAGTTAAAGTAACATTGCTGGAAAAGAAATACACAACTCAGCTAACTAGTTTCACTTTAATTTCACAATATTTCTTAATTGACTACTCAACACTGCCTACAATCCTGACATCTCCCTGAAGGATTCCCTTTTCCCCTCTCCAACGTGAAAATTTGATGCCTCTGTCTGTCTCTCCTCCTCTCTTCCATTCATCAGCTATCTCGCAAAGAACACTGAGGTGTGTCTCACAAAGAACACTGAGGCCCTCTGTTAGGAATACTCTCCTTCCACCGGCAAACCAGAAACCCGTGTCTGTGCCCATACACTCTGCCCTTCCTGCAACTCCTTTGCTTATTCTTCTTCCATTCTCAAGGGCTTAGCTCACACAGTTCAGCCCAGTCCTCCAACATCACCAATGTATTCCTCTCTATTGATTTTTCACCACCAAAATTACATTTTTAAAAAAACCAAAAAACCCTCTCTTGACCATCATATCTACAATCTACTAATAAATTTCTTTCCATTCTTTTACAAAAAAACCTATTGAAAAAGTTGTTTCTGTTTTCTGTCTCTGCTTTTTCTTCTCAACCCACTCCAAGAAGACTCTCTCTCCTCTTTAACTCCCTTCTAAATCTGCACTTGTAAAGGTCAACAATGATGTTCATATAGCCAAATTCAATGGTACTTGCCCACTTAGTTACAATTAACAGCAAAGACCACTGTTTTCATCTCCACACACTCCTTGTTATTTGGTGAGGTGTCACCTTCTCTTCTCCATCCATATTCAGTCTCCAGGTAATACTAGTCATGGCTTTATATGCTGGTAAATCCCATATTTATAGCCTTCGTCCTCCACTGCTCCTCAGATCTCTGGACTCATATATCCAATTGCAGACTTGGCATGCACACTTGGCGTATCAAAGTTTAAATGTCCTAAATGTTGCTATTAATATATCTTTTCTCCTTCCCAGACATCTGTTCCTCCCCCATCCTAGTAGGTGCCTCAAATTCATCCAGTTTGCACAGGCCGAAATTATATATCATCATTAATTTCTTTTTTTCTCTCTCAGTTCTCAAATCTAATTCACCAGCAAATACTCTAAAGTGTGTTCTTCTTTATTTTCTGAAGGAATTTGCATAAGATTAGTGATATTTATTCCTAAATGTTTTATAGACTTTACCAGTGAAACTATTTGGACTTTTCTTTGTGGAAGATTTTCGATAACAATTTCAATTTACTTTAGAGAGTCATTTAAAATTTCTGTTTGATCTCTCATCAGTCTTGGCAAGGAGGCTTCATGAGGTTTGTCAACTTTGTCAGCATAAAGTTGTTTATACTATTTATTTCTTTATAGTCTGGAGAATCTTTGATGAATTCCTTTCATTCTTGATTTTGGTAATTTATGTTTTCTTTCCTTTTTTGTTGATAAATCTAGCAATGGGCTTATCAATTTTGTTGTCTTCTATAAAGAACTACCTTTTTGCCTTATTAAATTTCTCTATTGTTTGTTTTCCTTTGTCTATGATATTTAACAAGCTAAAAATATAGTTCATTGCTGGGAAATCAACTAGGAATATGGCACATAAAAGATGTTTGAACTCTTAAAAATGTAGCACTTTTGAGCAAAGGAGAAATGTGACATATTTTGCTGCCTTGTGAAGATTTCTGGTAGCTTAAGTCTCTTTCTTATTATTTTTCTCCATTATTTTTAGGGCATTTTCCCTTCCTCTTCTCCCTTTCTGAGACAGATAACTACAGATGTCCCCTGTCTTAGAAACAGTTCTTCAATCCCCATGTCACAGGGCATTACTGACTGAGGAGATCCTGAAGGTGATGGCGTAACTTGTTCCAAATATTTTTCACCAAGAAGGCATTTTGGTCTCAGGATCTATTTTCACTTTGGACAATATGGAAAACCTCAAAGAGTTTTTTGTTTTGTAGATTATACCTATGACTATCTATGATTATTAAAAATGAAAACAAACTTTGTAAATATTTATTTTAAAATAATAACAAATCTATTATGCATAGCAAAGTTATATATTTTATATGAAATAACTATTTCATATAAATATTAAAAATATAATAACTATTATTGAGAAGTTTCATTGCTTTACATTTTTGTATATCTCTTGTTATCTGGCTTTACAGAAGACAAGTAAATTCTCATTTCTGCTTTTGCATTCAGTCTGTTGAAATATATTTTTTTGATTGGAGTATATTAAGAAAATGTAGCCTTACACAATATGTAGTTGGAGGCCGGGCATGGTGGCTCATAGCTGTAATCCCAGTACTTTGGGATGCCAAAGTGGGAGGATCACTTGAGGCCAGAGGTTTGAGACCTGACTGGGCAACATAGTGAGACCTCATCTCTACAAAAAATTCTAAAAAATTAGCTGGGCATGGAGATGCTTGCCTATAATATCAACTAGTAAGAAAGCTAAGGTTAGAAGATTGCTTGAGCTCAGGAGTTTGAGGCTACAGTGAGCTATGATTATGCCACTTCACTCCAGCCTGGGTGACAGACTGAGACCCTGCCTCTAAAAAACAAAAACAAACAAAAACAAAAACCCAAGAAATACATAGTTGGAAAAGGTAGGATTAATTTTGATAGCTTCTTTAGATAATTGTGGATATTCTCCTCTGATACTACACTAAAACTCAATGAGTGGTAGTTTTTAAAGAGTAATTACAATGTTGAATCTGAAATCATGTATATAAGCATTTCATATTCTCTTATATTAAAATCCACTGTTCTACCTTGAACTTTGACTAGATATTTTATCAAGAGATTTTTTTTTTTTGGTAAGATCATGCATTGGTCATCTGAAGACTATTAGTCCTCCGAGTTACACAGATCTTCCAAAGATTGACACGTTACGCAACATTTAAAAATCACATTTGTTAATATCATAACTAATATTGACAGATAAGCATTTAAATATTTCACATTTGGAATTATCAAGTTTATGGGAGCAGATAACAAGTTTTTCAAAATTCTAAATTTCATTTGAAAGCTCAAATTCTTTATTATTGGCAACAAAATGTTTGATTTCCTTGAAATGACAAGCTCACTTCATTCATTTTCATCAAAATGTCTCCAAATAACCAAGTCTGAATAATCATTCTTTGTCTGTCAGCAGTTATTTAAAGTAAAAGTAATCCTATGAAAAACATGGCTAGTTCAGCTCACAACTCTTAACAAGCAGACAAGTGCTTTTCCTCAAGACTACCAGTCTACTTTATACTTTGGAATAAAGCTGAAGTGCCTTATGCGTAATCCCATTTTGTCATGCAAAATAGTAAAAAATATGTGTACCCCAGGGTTTAGATTTAATGAAATTAATATGTTCTGCTTTATCATTGATATTCTTCAGTGAAAGTATCCCTTTCTTTCTTACTGCAAGTGTATGATGCCAATTACAATGACCACTGGTACACTACCTTGACTTGTGCTAAGGCTCCAGCAGTTTCACCCATGACTGCTTTTGCACCATCAGTGCAAAGGCCAAGAAGGTGAAAATAGGCAAGTTATAGCTTCATATTTTTATAGAAACGATTTTCTCAAAGTGTCTTAGATGATTCTCAGATTTCTATGGACCACGCTTTAGGAACATCTGGCCTTGATCAATGAGAACAGGTGTGTGTGTGTGTGTGTGTAATGTGTATACATATATATTTATAATGCTTTTTCTTTTTTTTTTTTTGAGACAGAGTCTCTCTCTGTCATCCAGGCTGGAGTGCAGTGGCGTGATCTTGGCTCACTGCAAGCTCCATCTCCCGAGTTCACACCATTCTCCTGCCTCAGCCTCCCAAGTAGCTGGGACTACAGGCACCTGCCACCATGCCCTGCTAATTTTTTGTATTTTTAGTAGAGATGGGGTTTCACTGTGTTAGCCAGGATGGTCTCGATCTCCTGACCTCGTGATCCACCTGCCTCGGCTTCCCAAAGTGCTGGGATTACAGGCGTGAGCCACCGCGGCCGGCCTATAATGCTTTTTCTACTAAAAATTTATTTTTTAATATATGGTATGTTATTTATTGGATATAAACATGGAGGATATAATATGAGCAAGAATAAGGCAATGCAAATATCTGGAGAGAATTTAAGAATCTTTTCTTATCACCTAAATGGTTTAATCACTGTGTAACCAATCTTCTTGTCTACGATTGTTTTACATATGTAATTTTTGTACAGTAAATCCCCAAATGTAAGCTTTTAATGAGCTGTTTTCACTTATTACAATAATGGTAGCTGCCCTCTGTGGAGCCATGATTATATGTCTGGCACTCTGTTTAGTACTTAATATTCATTAATTCATTTGAACCTCAGAGCAATGTTGTGATGTGGGAATTATTATCCCTATCAAATAGTTGCATGCCTGATAACTACTCAACAAAAATGTGTTGAATGTATGAAGTCACTTTGTCTAAGGTTCCTTCCACCTACAATCACCTCTCCTGCCAGCAGCTAGTAAGTGGTAGAACCGAGACTCAAAATCCGCCAGCCTGAAAGCCTAGATGTGTTACAAAATGGTATCAACCATCCCAGTAGAACAAACACATTACATTTGGCTCCTTAACTCAGCTAATTGATTCAGAATGTTACTTTTCTGGCTCTCTGGAGTCAGAGAATGTTAACTGAGTAGTTGCCATCTGAAAAATCCCTTTCTCTGAAAGGGCCCATGGTCAATGTAGCCCAATACTATATTTGTGGTATCATAACACAAAGTAGAAAGTTTTTTCAATAACTACACCAGCTTACCCTCTAACTTCCTTCTCTAATCATCCCAACTGATGATGTAGCTTAAATAGTGACTTATAGTGAGTGCAGCTTGATTATGTAGCTTAATCAGCTGGGATGGTTATAGAAGTAAGTTAGAGGGTGAGCTGGTGGAGTATAATAAGGAATTTTAAAGGATGTGTTTCTGTAGCCAGAAGCACCTTACAAGTGCTTTTTATTAATTTTTCCCTTCTAATGGCTTATTCATACTCTGCATGGGGCATTTTGACAAAGATAGATAACACAACTGAAAAACTTTTAAAACAAACTTTAAAAAGCATTTTTTTCCAAGGGCCTAGACACACTTGCCAATGTTCGGGAAAATTGCCAGTAAAATTGCTTTGATCTCTAAGGTGCTTCAGGGTTCACAGAGAGAATTTCTCAAAGTATGCAAATAAGAATAAGATTCTATCTTAAAATAACTGAAAATCCTTTGGTAATAAAGTATATTACACTTATTTTCTCTTCAACTATCTCATATGGAAAAAAACACTGTAATAAATATCTTTTCGTCTTTTTTCATCTGATAAAAGTCCAAGTCAGTTACAAAAAGACATTCCTTTCCTGCTAAATGAAGAGCAGAATACTGAAAGAGTACATAAAACTTAATTTCCTTATATTTTCCAAGAGACTGCAATTCATTTGTAACATAATATGATAATGTGACTGAAATTTCAACTTACTAAAACTGGTGATATTCTAATATTCCAGAATGTCTCACTTTGGCATTTGGCTGGTTGGTGCCTATGAACTCACCATTTCAATCAAAACAAACTAGCTCAATTTTCTTGTCTGAGACTTCATGAGAACTTACGGTTTAAGAGTGTTTTCCACACTTCTTAACTATGATATTTAACAAGCTAAAAATATTGTTCATTGTTGGGAAATCAACTAGGAATATGGCACATAAAAGATATTTGAACTCTTAAAAATGTAGTGCTCTTGAACTAAAAGAGGAAAAGTGACATATTTTACTGCCTCATGAAGATTTCTGGTAGCTTAAGTCTCTTTCTTATTATTTTTCTCCATAATTTTAGGGGATTTTCCCTTCCTCTTCTCCCTTTCTGAGACAGATAACTACAGATGTCTCCTGTCTTAGAAACAGTTCTTCAATCCTCATGCCACAGGGCATTACTGACTGAGGAGATCCTGAAGGTGATGGCGTAACTTGTTCCAAATATTTTTCACCAGGAAGGTATTTAAATTTTAGCCATTTGAGTACAAGGAATTGTGTTTCCTTCCTTGTGCTTGATCACATTCCCATTTGCCATTGGAAAGGTAAATTGTTTTCACTTGTCAGCCAAAAAAAAAAAAAAATCCCTGATCTTTATAAGATTTCTTATAATTGTCATTCTGTTGGAAAATTTAAAGCCTATAAGTAAAATTAATGTGAACGTAAATTTAACCAAAGCTTTATAAGTAGATTTTGCTTCAGGATTATTAGTTTTTTAAATAACATTGGTTTAATGATGAATTAAAACAACTTCAACTTACAGAGTTTTGGAACTGTTTGTCAAAAATCTCTCAATATAATCCCGCACTCACTATAAGTCACTGTTTACTCTCTCCTGAGATCATCAGGTGGGTCCTTGTGGGAGAGACTTTCTTTAATCAGAAAGGCCTACTATCTTGGCTGTTTATATTTCTACAGGGACTGTTTTCTCAAAAGATTTGAAATATTTGACATACATACTTCCTGGAATTTTATAATTGTGTGATCATCTTTTCCCCATACATTTCAATTATTTAAAAAAATCAGAAGGTTAAATTCCCTAGCCAAAATTAAGAAGCTTGTACTCATTTGATTGACCCTATCCTACTCGGCTTTTTCCTACTGTGTAAGTAAAGCAAATGTTCTCATTCTGTATTCCATTTTGATAATTAGGCATAGGAGGTCAATGTTGGCTCATTTATGAAGGAAGGAAAACATAAAATCAATGAAAAAAATTTTAGTTATTCTAGAGAATATTTAGCTATCAACATTCACTGAGACAATTAGCATGGCTAAATTGAAGTATAGCTGAAGTTATTTTAATAGCTCCTTTTAGTTTGAAGATAAAACACTCATCAGGATACAGATAGTCCTCTGATCTCTCTACAAGATTCTAGTGAATCAAAATCATCAAGGTACAGAGATTTTTCTTGACTCAAGAGAAGGCATCAAAAATTTTAATTTCACAAGATAGGAAGATCTCTGGATTTTACCAAAAAGATTACATGTGTTTCTATTCCAAACAGAAATTAACACAAAATGGAAGAAACATGCTACTTTTAAAAAGTTACATGGGGACTAAATAGATACATAGAAAGACACAGCAGGAGAGTTATTAGATTATCCAGAGTTCTCTGTTTAACCTGTCACCACTAAAACTATTTTTTTAAAAAAGATAATGGGAATCTAGGATTATATAAATAAAATTAGTCATGCATTAGAGTACAGACTAAGCTGATATAACAAGTATGCCTACTACAATACAGTGGCTTAAATAAGAAAAAGTTTATTTCTTTTTCACATAACCATAGAGATAGATGAGCAGTTCAAAGTAGATAGGTGGCTCTGCTCCAATAGGTCTTTCAGGAACCCAGGCTTTTGATACTCTTGTTTGCCCTAACATTTTCTGGGATGTTATCCACATTGTGGAGGCTGGCTCATGGCTAAGTGCATTCTAGATGGAGCATGTGGTTTAAGAGAATACTTGGAGGTAAGAATAGGATAGTGAAGGACTGGGTCAAAGTTATATATGATCATGTAAAGGAATATATAGATACATAAGTGATATATGCATATGTTAGTGTGTATAAATATGCAAAAGTGTGTAGGAACAAAGGATTGTAAAGATAAGGAGAGAAATGGAAATGAGAGATTCTGAGCCATTTTAGAGAAAAGGTTTAAAGCAAAACTCTAAAAATAGGGTGATACTAGTACATCATGGGCAAGAAAGACATTTATATTAGTTATCCTGAGAACTGACTCTAGATAATATAGTCTGGAAGGTGGGAAGTCTAGAGAGGAAAATAGTGCTATTTTTATAGTAGTTTGATAAATCACAAGTTGGTAACTCAGTATCAAGGATGTGCAATGAAAGTAGGATGAGTAGCCACTTCCAACTACTCAGGTATCATGTAGATTCCTAACAGGAAGAAAAAGGCAGAGTGACTGTGCATATACTTATACATCTTATCGTTCAATTTCTGAGAGGCGTGGTATCTCCCAAGGATTTTCAAGAAGATAGATTTGAGTAAGAAAGCACTCACCCCCTCATGATTAGTAAGCTCAAGTTGACAATGACCCTCTAAAGCAGGGGTTACAAAACATTTTTGTGAAGGGTCAGATAGTGAATATTTTAGGATATTTTGTGCCACACAACTTCTGTCATAACTTCTCACTTCTGCCATTGAGATGCAAAAGTAACAATAGGCAATATACAAAGAAATGAGTGTAGCAGTGTTCCAATAAAACTTTATTTATAAATAAGAGGTGCAGGGCTAGGCTTGGTCCACATGTCGTACTTTATTGGCCTCTATTCATCCTAAGGCAATGAAATGGGAATTAGGTAAATTAGGCAAATTTCTTTTGAGTTGTAAGTTTATGAACATTTATAAATTGAACTCTACTATATATAAAATATTTACAAAAATGAAGGAGGAAAATGCATAATAAGCAGTATACTTTAATAGGTAATGAAGAAAATGTTGATGACACCAGAAGGTACAGATGCTTTGAAAGAGAAGATAATAAATGTTATTTTAATTATATGTAAATATTACTTCCTTTGTAAATGTTTGGATTCTAAGACAATACTGACAAGACCAGCATAACTTGTATGCAGAAAACTACAAAGCATTAGAAGTGTATTTAAAATTATTTACAATAAATATGGACAAATTAATAATGATTAAATAGTTCATTTTAAGGGCTTATTTTCTTTCTTTCTCTTCCTTCCTTCCTTCCCTCCTTCCCTCTCTCCCTCCCTCCATTTCTCCTTCCTTCCATCCTTCCTTCCTTCCTTCTTTCCTTCCTTCCCCTTGCTCTCTCTTCCTTGCCTCTCTTCTTTCTTCCTTTTTTTCTTCCATAATTAATTTAGTCTGTCAGTTCTCTCAAAAAGAATTCATCTGGTATAGATGTAGTAATTCTAAATCTCATTCTAGTCTTTCAAAATAGCTTCATAATATAAAAAGTTATATCAGAGGAAAGTACGGAATTCTAGACAGCATAACAATTGAAAGTTATTGACTCCAAGTAATTTTAAATGCTAAATATTTTTATTTTTATGCAACACTGTAGAGCTTATAAAAATATGAATATCATCTTAAAATATTACATTAGAAAAAAAGTTTTATAATAATGTTTCAGACCCAAACAGAATTTTTTAATAAGATGTATGAACACATATTTTTCTCTAAGGTAATACAAGTCATCAGAAATAATTGCCTTAACTACTTTCGAAAGTGAAGTGAAAAATAGCACTTATCTTAACATCTCACTCTAGGCTAAAACTGATAAACATTTCATTTACGAATGTATCTGTCTGCCTCAAGGTCTTGCCCTTGGTGTGTTTGCCATCCAGATTTTTAATTTGTCTATCTATCTATCTATCTATCTATCTATCTATCTATCTATCATCTATCTACCTACTTTTAGAGAAAGGATCTTGCTGTGTCACCCAGGCTGGAGTGCAGTGGTGGGATCATGGCTCACTGTAGCTTCAAACTGCTGGGCTCAAGCAATCCTCCCACCTCAGCCTCCCAGGCAGCTGGGACCACAGATGCACACCACCATGCCTGGCTATTTATTTTTAAGTTTTTGTAGAGGTGGAGTCTTGCTGTGTTGCCCAGCCTTGTCTTAAACTCCCGGCCTTAAGCAATCCTCCTGCCTTAGCATCCCAAAACACTGGCACTACAGGTGTGAGCCACCACTCTCGGCCTGTTCTGATTTTTGACAGTCCTAAGCAGGAGAGGACTTTGGACCAAATTTTCTCCTTCTAATCAATGGTAAGCATTTTTCTGTACTGATGTTATTATTTCTCACCAGTGAAAAACCCAATTTGGAAATCTTGAAAAAGATGAGTGGCATTCTAAGATAATGGCCTATACTCAAGGTGTCTTACAGTCTATAAGATGTTCTCATCTAGGCTGGGCATGGTGGCTCACACCTGTAATCCCAGTACTTTGGGAGACCGAGGCAGGTGGATCACATGAGGTCAGGAGTTCTAGACCAGCCTGGCCAACATGATGAAACCCCATCTTTACTAAAAATATAAAAATTAGCCAGGCATGGTGGCAGATGCCTGTAATCTCAAGTACTTCGGAGGCTGAGGCAGGAGAATTGCTAGAACCCAGGAGGCAGAGATTGCAGTGAGCCAGGATGGCGCCATTGCACTCCAGCCCAGGCAACAGCAAGACTCCATCTCAAAAAAAAAAAAAAAAAAGTTTTTGTCTAAACTGCTGAATTTCAGACTTCCTACCACCCATTAAAGTAGGCAGGTCAAAGGATGTGATTCTTATTTTCTAAAGGAACAAATAAACTCTAAGAAGTGAAGCAAACTGCAGCCAGTAAGAAAGATCTGAAAAAAAGAACAAAGTTCCATTTTCTGAGAATACTTATCTAGTTCACTTCTGTTTCAGGTCTGTCAATTTTTCCATTTCAGTATGTCCAGAGTCCATGCCCTCTTTCCACTCCAACTGAGAACTTTGAAGTGAACTTTGTCATAGTTACTGGGAAAAGAATAATCATGACAACAACAAAACATATAAAAAGTGAAATAGTAAATATTTGAAGTCTCCCATTGCAATCACCTGACTATGAGCCAAAACACTGGAGTTCTTGGCCCTCCTACTCTACATTAATTGCGTGTCCTTGAACAAATCAAACAACCTGTCTGGCACTCAACTTCCTTATCTAAAAAAATGGAAGGGTTTCTAAGATCTCTCCCACATATAACATTCTAAATATTAGTAAAGGAATCTATATTCAAAAAAAAACTTGTTATGTTGCTTCTTCTTAGAATAGTTGGAATGAGCTACAGACTACAATATTGCAGCTGCCAATTCTTTAACAATTTGGATTGTGTAGCACTAACTTAAATCCACCTGTGGGAATAGAGTTGGAGGCAATAATACACTGTCTCAACTTGCTCTGTTTTCATTTTCGAAACCACTAAGGGAAGTTGGGTTGAAACTGGTTTTGGAAAAATACAGAAACACTATATCAAACTTGACAAGAAGGATAACTCTTTGACATATTAATGACTTTTGATTGCATTAGTAATTTCCTATTGCATTGTTTTCAGATTTGGTTATGTTGGCACAAAATAAAAAACAATATGGTTGCAATTTAATTTAACTTATTAAGACTCCCTAACATAGGGCACAGGTGCATGCTATTTGAATATATTTAGCTAGTACAGTCCAAATTTTACATTGATCAATTGCAGGCTTGATTAGACTGACATCCGTGGGAGTGCCTGATCTGCATTTTCTGAATCTCTCCTTGGAGTCATCTTGCCTCTCTTATCTTCATTCATCACCAAGCCCCAATCTTAACTTGAAGAATTTCCAAGATAAAATGGTCAGCCTCACAATCAACAGCATCAGCTCTATGCTCTTATTTCCTCTTTCCCGTTTTAGTTTCTGACCCTTCAACAGATGATTGTAAAAAAAAAAAAAAAAAAAAAAAGACACATACTCCCTAACAGTGCCCACACTGCTACCCATACATATATCTTTGGATCCAGCAGACAGACCTGTGGTCAGTGCCTTTTTTGCTATTTCTTTTATAAGGCAGGGTCATCCAGTTCAATTCAGAGGATAGAAGCTGAATGGCTACGTCTCTGATTCCAGAAAGCAGCTTGCTGTCCAAACACATAATTAAAGAGGGAAGCAACATGTATTCCAGAATGGTGATGAAATATTTCAGGGAAGAGTCTGGTGTAATTAGTAGCACATCCACCTAGCCATGACCGTATTTGGCTAACAGGAGGCTATTTTTCTTACTTAGTGAACATTTAAGGTCAAGTCTATTAACTGTTTCTATAAATATAATTTAGTTGCAATATTCATTCATACCAAATTAATCACACGTAGTCTAATAACTACAATGCTGTGTAGAATGCTGGAGCACTCGTGTCAGTTTCTGTGGTATGAAGAATTTGCCAATTACTTTATCAGGTTATGAAGTCTCTCTTTGCTTTATCATTTTGGATTATAATCTGAAAAATATAATGCATGTCTCCTACTTACTTTACAGGAATCAAAATAAAAAATGTCTTTAATGAATCTTTTTTTTTTTTTTTTTTTTTTTGAGACGGAGTCTCGCTCTGTCGCCCAGGCCGGACTGCGGACTGCAGTGGCGCAATCTCGGCTCACTGCAAGCTCCGCTTCCCGGGTTCACGCCATTCTCCTGCCTCAGCCTCCCGAGTAGCTGGGACTACAGGCGCCCGCCACCGCGCCCGGCTAATTTTTTGTATTTTTAGTAGAGACGGGGTTTCACCTTGTTAGCCAGGATGGTCTCGATCTCCTGACCTCATGATCCACCCGCCTCGGCCTCCCAAAGTGCTGGGATTACAGGCGTGAGCCACCGCGCCCGGCCGTCTTTAATGAATCTTAAGCTTATTGGGAAAAAGATATCTGTAAACATATGATGTATTTCCACTAATTTACCTCCTGTAATTTGTTGGTTCTAGCAGTTATTTTTTCTCTCCACATTTAAATTAAATCGCTAGAAAGCTAAGTTTCTAAAGTGCCTTATTTAAATAAATGTCTTACCTATCTCCACTACCAACCACTTTTCTTCTTAAAGCATATCTGTTGGATTTACAGAAGAACAATAGATTGTTAACCAAAAGGTGGGAAGAAATTTTGGGTTTCTCTGTGTCTTAATGGGAAATACATCTTCATACTTCAGCATAATTTCATTTATTGTGAAAACAAAAAAACAGCTTCTATGGAGGAACTTTTCGAAACTATTTACTAAAACACAGAAGAAACATTGTCCACCCTCATTTAGCCCCCAACCCCAAACGCCATGTCTCTTTCCAAAAAAGTACAGCATAAATAGGGAAAATGGAAATATAGCTTCTTTCATGCACTTTCTAATTACAGGGTTACATTAGTATTACTAAGAAACTCTGTTTACAATTATGATTCCAGAGGAAAGCAAACCCAGGAGCAGATGAGTAACAGTTTAGGTCCAAATGGAAACTTTTGTATATTTTTCTTTTTAAGAAATTCCAGAACATTTTTCTGTACTAATCCTTCTGATAGAGGAGAACAAGAGAAGAAGGCAAGAATGTGATGTGTTGCTCGTTAATTCCGTCTGTAGCTGTAAACTCCCTTGGCCCATAGAGAATATAATTCTGGCAAGAGTATTTTGAATCATAACTTCTCTTTCCTTGTCTGCATTGCTTCAAGAAGTTAAAGTACTTTTAAAAGATCTTTGGAAAATGGAGATCATCTAAACTTATTTTTCTAGACTTTTCTACACACCTACCAGGATGAACTCCCAGAGATTAGTCTTTCCTGAAAAGAATAGAACTTGTCATCTGGTGACAAAAGATGAAGAGCAGGCTTTCAAACCCTTTCTTTGAGTCTATATAGAGAAATTGTAGTGGAGAATTTATAAAACCCACATTCCACATGATTCTGTTAAAGCCTCGTTGGAAGCTATAAAAATAGATTTAGAGTATTTCTGCTTGAAAATCACCTCAGACATGTCACTGAAATAAAAGAGATGATTAGAAAGAAAAATGAGGAGACAGAATTTCATGACTGCGATATCATTTCAGAGAGACCAGATTCCCTGGTGACTATCTTAACTTTCTACTTCATTTTACCCATGTAAATACAGCCTCAGAAAATTCTTCTTTCTCCTCTTTTCCCTCTCTAGAAAGAAATTCTCATTTTATTGTAGCTGATTTCTCAATGTAGCAATTTGAGATGTGCTATCTGAAAATTCATTTTACATTCAATTTACTCAACTTATTACTTGAATCCTATTTGTCTGAATTTTTATTTCAGTAAATGTACAATAAACTATATTAAGATTCAAGGGAAATGAACACGGTAGTGCAGATATTTCTTCAACACACTGATTTCAGTTCCTTTGGATCTATACCCAGAAGTGGGATTGCTGGATCAGATGTTAGTTCTATTTTTAGTTTTTTGAGGAACTTCCAAACTATTTCCAATAATGGCTGTACTGTATTAATTTACATTCCCACCAACAATGAACAAGAATTCTCTTTTCTCCATTTCTTCCATAGCTAATATGTTGAAGCAACCAAAGTGTCCATCAATAGATGAATGGGAAAGGAAATGTGGTATGCCATATATACAATGGAATGCTATTCAACCTTTAAAAAGAAGAATATTCTGTCATCTGCTACAACATGGATGAGCCTGGAAGACATTATGCTAAGTGAAATAAGACTTAGACTTGTCACTGAAAGACAAATACCACATGATCTCACTTGTAGACAGGATCTAAAAAAGTCATAATCATAGACATAGAGAGAAGAATGGTGGTTATCAGAGGCTGCCTGGGGCAGGGAGGGGATGGAGAAACAAGGGTGTTGATCAAAAGGGACAAAGTTTCAGCCAGACAGCAGGAGTAAGTTTTAGTGATCTATTTTACAGAATAGTGACTATAATAAATCATAATGCATTGTATATTCAAATTGCTTAAATATTAGATTTTAAATGTTCTCACTACCAAAAATTGATATGTGAGGTGAAGACTATGTTAATTCACTTGATTTAATCATCTCACAATGTAAACATATATCAAAACATTACATTAAACACCATAAATAACTATAATTGTTATAATTTGCCAATTAAAATAAAATAAAATTTTAAAGATAAAATATGAATTTTCAAGAAGATTCAAGAATAGATATAATGGGGAGGAGTAACTTTTCAATATTTAACCATCTTCCAAAATTGAGAACTTCATAAAAGTATTCCTTTCATTGCCTTCATTTGGCATGTTTTTTTTTTTTAAGATCAACGATTTGACAGAGAAATATGGCTGAGATACCAAATCTGAGATAGCAAATCTCAAATTGCTACATTGAGAAATCAGCTACAGTAAAATGAGAATTTCTTTCTAGAGAGGGAAAAGAGGAGAAAGAATTTTCTGAGGCTGTATTTACACGGGTAAAATAAAGTAGAAGGTTAAGATAGTCACCAGGGAATCTGGTCTCTCTGAAACGGTATCTCAGTCATTTTTCTTTATACAGAAATATATTTCAACCAGGAAGAACTTCTTAAGTAGAAACATTCCTATAATAACCTTCTTTATTTCCATCTCTTTATCTAATAAAATTTGTCAGACACCTTAAAAATAAAATGGAAGAAAATTTTCTTTTTAGACAGTCCACATTATGACTGCATTCAACAAGCAGATTTAAAAAATACAATTAACATGGTTATTTCTTTAAAGGTCACAAGTTTATGTCGTGTAAACCAATGATTCAGATGACTGGGACATACTCCATTTTTATTAAGATGTTTCTACCATACTGAAATAATTGGCACCTCATTTGTAGTTCAGTCAACCGGGTTTAAAGGTAAAATTGAAAGCCACTTCAGCATCCTTTAGAAGTCCCAATGACTTCCTTGTACCACAGGGGACAAGCTCTGCACATATTTCCAACGTTGATCTTCATAGAAAATGCATTCTTTCTCAGACATGTGGGTAATTCCATGTTACACAGAATAGAATGTGTTGCATATTGTGGGTATCTTAATCACAGAGAACACTTACAAAATCACTTTTGGTTTGCTTTTCTTATCATTATAAAATATTTGTTTTCACTGTAAAAACAGTGTACAGAAATATAAAAAGAAATTAAAAATC
Organism: Homo sapiens; assembly: GCF_000001405.40. NCBI lineage: Eukaryota > Metazoa > Chordata > Mammalia > Primates > Hominidae > Homo > Homo sapiens. Next base: position 122,112,342 of record NC_000006.12, on the reverse strand, counting down.
ACTTATAACCCCTCATCCTCCACCACCCAGTGATATTCACCTACTGTTTCTCCAGAGAGGTGGAAAATACTAGTGCTGAGTTTGGTTTTAATGCCTTGGGAAGACTGAAGATAGAGCCTTGAATGTCCAAGAGAAGGGAGGCTTGAATAGAAATCTTCTATTAAAGTCTAGATCCTCAAAAGATTTTACGCTAATGGTAAAATTTTAAAAAGAAACTGCGCAGGAATCTTGTATGTTTTTGTCTGGGTTCTGGAAAAGGAGCCTCCACTGAAGATAATAAAAATCCTGGGCTATATGTCCCATGTGTTTGTGGTTTGGGATCCCCCAAGAAGAGAAATCAAATACAGAAATTAATATTTATTTGGGCCATTTGCAAACTAAATGTGCCATCCATTGTAAAAGGACTCTCCCATGGAAGGGTGGGAACATCAAGAACTTTCAATATTAGGAAAACAATCTTAAAGATACTATAAAGCTGTATGTTTAGAATGATTAAGGATCAGAATGAAGAATCAAAACATAAAGAGAATAGCAAACGATGAAGAAAGAATTCATCTTTTTCATCCGAAAAAGAGCCAAATAGAAATTCTAGAAATGTTTTCTTCCCTTCCCAGAGAACTCCTAATACTGGATACCCTTGGAGCTTAGCTCTCTTCTGTTTACTCTCATGACTTAATGACCTCATCTCCCTAAACCTCATACTCCTCCAAGACCTTCACTTGAGTATCTAAAAGATATCTCAAACTTAATATATCCACAGTTGAATCAAATCTCACTCTCACATCTGCTTTACCATAGTTATCCCCATCTCAGGGGCACTACTCTCGCTGTTTCATCACATGCACATCATCTGTTGTTAAATACAGTGGGTTCTACTCTCAGGATAGACTAGAATTGCATGCTGTCCTCTGCCTCTATTCCTCACACCCTGTTCTGAGCACTCGTCATCCTGCCTTTCCTGGAGTACTGGTCTCTTGGCTTCCATTCTTGATCCCTACATTCTGTATTCAACATAGTGTTACCGAAACATCAGTCTAGGTCCTGCTGCTCACAGCACAGGAAGCCAATCACTGATATGATGAGTATTGCCAAGAAGGCTTTAATCAGTTGCTGCAGCCAAGGAGATTAGAGATCAGTCTCAATCCCTGACTGACTAAAGTTAGGGGATTATATACCAGGGAAGAAATGTAACTATGTGTTGGAAAACAGGAACTAGGAAGGGGTAAGAAAGCAATCATGAGGAGGAGGGGTCTGGCATCTCATTGTCTAGATGTGGTGATCTGGTTAGTTTTAGTTCTTCGATACTTTTTGAGAGGTCTGAGGGTTGTTTCCTGCTGAAGGAACTCTGATAAAACAAATGTAAGTTTCAAGCTTTAATACCAGAAGTATCAATTTCTATGTTTATCCAAAAAAACTGCCTATGGGACTATTGGGTTAGTTTCAATAGCAATCAGAAGTAAATCAAAGCTTGTCATTCTTTGCTCAGAATTTTCTAGTGGCTGCCAATTTCACTCACAGGAAAAGCCAAAGTTCTGAAAATGTTCCACAATGCTCAACAAGTTCTGGCTTGAGCCAGAACTCTCTAAGAGCACCCACACTTATCTCTCTTTGCTCCCTCTGCTCCAGCCACACTAGCTTCCTTCTGTTCCTCAAAACTCTAGGTCTTTGTACTTGTTCCTTTTACCTGAAATCTCCCCCTCATGGCCTTCTTTCCTTCCCTTTTTCAGATCTTAGCTGACATATCAACCCTCAGTGAGCCCTTTCCTGTTTAAAATTGAACATTCTTTCCAACACTCGGTAGCACCTATCTTTCTTCTTTTCTTTTTAGAACCTATTCCCTCTCATATAGTATAATGTATTGATATGTTTATTGGATCCCTAAATAGAATATAAGCTCTCTGTCAGTGGGACTTTTGTATGCTTTGTTGACAGCTAATGGAATTTAAAAAAAAAAAAAAAACTTTTGATGAAGGCCAGGCATAGTGGTTCATGCCTATAATTTCAGCCCTTTGGGAGGCTGAGATGGGAGAATCACTTGAGTCCAGAAGTTCGAGATCAGCCCTGGCAACATAGTGAGATCTTATCTCTATAAAAAATATGTGTGCTTGTGGTCCCAGCTACTCAGGAGGCTGAGTTGGGAGGATTACTTGAGCCTGAGAGGTCGAGGCTGCAGTGAGCTGTGGTCATGCCACTACACTCCAGCTTGAGTGACAAGACCTTATCTCAAAACTAAAACAAAACCTTGATGGGCTTGACCCATCAGTCTTAATGACATAATTTCCTGGGATCAATGAGAAAAGAACACAGTATTTTAAATAGTGAATGTTTCTTATGCAGAGTTGCTCTGCGAAAATAATATATTTTCAAAAAATAGTATTTGGTTAGACAAAGGTTGATGAGAAAAAAAGACAAAAAATAGTAAAAATGCTTTAAGGTTTTAAACAAGAGAATTGGAGCAGAGGGCTTTTTGGCCAATTCTGGGAATACTGGGGAAAGTTGTCACCTTAAGTTAGAAGATGGCAAATGTGTTCTATGTTTTGGACAAGTTGTGTTTTGAACATTTAAAACAAAATATCTTACAAGCAATTTGATCTTAGAGATACAATTTGGTCTTAGACCAAAATTTCTCTCTTTTGGTTGTTCTCAGGTTTGTTACAAAAAATTCTCAAGTTTAGAGGTAGTGTTTTAAAAACATTATGTATTTTATAAAAGCATTTGAACACCAGAGACCTTAGGAAAAATGAAACTTTCCCAACTCCATGAAAACTATATTTTAAACAATTTTAATTTTACTTTCCCTTGTCTATTATGAATTGCATTTATTACATGATAAAGTAATAAAAATTGAATAGAATAGATTTTTAGTTGAAGTAACACTTATTCTCAATCTTAAAAACATTAAACAAAGAAATGTATCTAGAAGGAATTTTTAGGATGGGCATTTAAAATTTTAAAACCTTGATTGTTCTCCTGTTAATCTTGTTCATTTCAAAATGTAGTCTTTGATTTTGTGCCAGAAGCCTTCTATTTTTGCTTTACTAAGAAGTTGACTAACAGATGAGGATATTGTCCACACTCTGGCTTGTGATCTTTCTCAACATTGTCCTGGTAAATTTTATACAAATATAATTTTACAAAGGTTTATTTTGTTTCTTACCATCCCTTGGGAACTTGAACTTGGCAACCTCCTATTAGTGATTATAATATTCAGCTAGAGTTGGATCAGGACACAGGCTGTGATGTATTCTATTTAATTTCTGGGGCATTAGCAGAAGGTTTAATGAGAGTATTGTAATACTGTTTAATGAAAGGTGGGAGTTTTTAAATTCTTTGGCAGTGTGAATAAATAGAGTTTGATTAGATTTCAATAAGTAGTTTAAGATTCATCATTTTCTTACATATTTGAAAGTCTACCAATATTTTAGTATTAGAAAAACTCAGAGGTGTTAACTTCTGAAAACAAGTTAGATATATATTTTAATAGGTTATATCTGCATTGAGATATATCTGCATTGGAAAAATTTATACATTAATGGCTTAATGGGTCACAGGAATTCATTCCATATCATTCATTCATTCATTCATTCATTCATTACTGGCATGTCCCCATCCTCCTTTCTTCTAAATACAAAAGTGGCTCAAAGCTCAGTCCTTTGGCCTCTTAGCAAGCTACTGACTTCCTTTTGCTCTGATCCAGTTTCATCTCAAGACATTAAATTCCAACAATGTGCTGATGACACTAAAATTTGTATTCCTGTCCAGAACTCTCTCCTGAATTCAGAACCATAAATTCCATGACTTACATGCAATCTCTCTGCAACGAACTGAAGTCTCCGTACCTCCTAGATTCACATGTTAAAACCCTAACAACCAATGTGATAGTATTAGGAGGTATGACCTTTGGGAGTCTCCACCCTTATAAATGGGATCAGTGCCCTTATAAAAGGGACCTCAGAGAGCTCTCTCCTACTCTATTTCTGCCATATGAGGATACAATGAGAAGATGGTAGTCTCCAACTTGGATACAATGAGAAGATGGTAGGCTCCAACCCTCATCAAAATCTGACCATGCTGGCACTCTGATCTTGGACTTCCAGCCTCCAGAAAGTTGAGAAATACATTCGTGTTGTTTATAAATTACACAGTCTATGGTGTACTTTGTTATAGCTGCAAGAACTAAGACCCTCTCCTTAAGATATCTCATAGGTCTATTAACATATCCAAAACTTAGTTTCTGATATCCAACACCTCACCCCCACTTCAGTTCCTCCTACAGTCTTTCCTCCTCATTAAATGTACTCTAGTTTCACCTGTTTTCTCAGGATAATTAATTGTATCCTTTTTAAGTACCTTTAAGGGTACAGTAGTATCTGTTAAGTACTCTTAAGTACCCTTCAAAAGTACCATGTTAAAGTTTCAGAAGTCATGATCTACTATATGCTCACATTAGTTAATGATAATTCAATTTTTCAGTCGCTTAGCTTTCAAAATAATATCTATACTGCCTTTCTTTCTCCCACATTCCATATCTAGTTTATCAGTAAATGTCGTGGGGCTCACTGCAAAATTACATATAGAATTCACCACAGTGTTTCAAGCCAGCATCGTCTGTTGTCTGGGTGATTGCACAGACTCCTATATGGCCTTCCTGGCATCTAGAGATCCTTATTAAAATGTATGTCAGATGATGTTACTTCTCTGAGTCAGAACGTCAGCTAGATGACTAAATTTTGTTCCCTTTTAATAGACTGCTCTGATACTAGTATTTCATACCCTGCTTGGAACTGGTGATATAACCCCCCTTCATGAAATTCCCCATCACTATGTTTCTCTTACCTGTTGGAACAGCTGCCACTTTTATCTTGCCCACTTGGCTTACCTGCAGGCTGAGACTGATTCCTGGCCACTAAGGTTGCCAGACTGGACTTTGGTTCCAGTATTTTGTGTGTATAGCTGTATCTGCTTTCTTCCTTTTATCCTGCTTCACTCAGCCATGCTTGGTAAGTCCTGAACCACCCTAGTAATTCCCAATATGCCCCATTTTGCTTTAAATAACCAGGCCAGACCTATTTGGTTGCTTAATTAAGACCACCAACATCTTGAAGCAAAGGAGAAAGCCAAGTTCATTAGAAGGGTGGACTAGTTGTGTACCAATGGTAGAAGTGTCCATGATATTTTGCACAAATATATCCACCATCAAATTATTTGTTCTTTGAATTGATCTGAAGGGTATCTAGATGGGCATGAGAATTCATACTATAATGTTAATTTTTAAACAATGGGCTACCTTTTAGGTATATATTTCTGGAATAGTGACTTTTCACAAAGATTTTAAAGAAATTTAAAAGGTGAACTTGGAAAGAAATACACATATATTTCACCAGAATAATCAGCCCAAGAGAAATATAAAATGGTAATAGATAGTTTATTAGCACCTGAAATTTTTATGCAAGCTCCTTTCCCAATAAAACGGTTATAATGGCTTTTGCAAGAGATGATGTGATATACCTTTCTTTCCAACCATGTTAAATCCTTATTCTCATATTCAGAATGAAACAGGTGGAAAATTTGGGTCTGCATTTGATTTCCAAACAGTTACTTACTAGAGAGCAAGTGCCTTAGTGCTTGAGATATTTTGGTCTTTCTAAATATGTTTAACTTAATTGTGCATAGTCCATTTAAAATTTATCTTGATGGATTATTTATACTTAATGTTTCTAAACATGAATCAGTGAGGAAATCTGAATAAATTAGGTTTTTTCAAAATCATAATGCCAAAAGTACTTTTACTCTCCTTTGGGGAGTATTAAAATTTATACTCCGTACTGTCCTATAAATTAGCATACATGGAAATACAAAGTTAAACAGAATGACATAATATTAAACTTAAATAATCACTCCCTTAACCTTTTAGTAAAGTGATAAATTTGTAAAGGTTTAAAAATATAACTAGAAAATTTTATAATGAACACTGAGATCTGATTTTAATACTTGGGTTGTGGGATTTTTTTTTTTTTTTTTTTTTTGAGACAGAGTCTTGCTCTGTCGCCCAGGCTGGAGTGCAGTGGCACGATCTCGGCCCACTGCAACCTCTGCCTCCCGGGTTCAAGCAATTCTCCTTCCTCAGCCTCCCAAGTAGCTATGACTACAGGTGCACGCAGCCACAACTGGCTAATTTTTTGTATTTTAGTAGAGACAGGGTTTCACCTTGTTGCCCAGTATGGTTGCGAACTGCTGAGCTCAGGCAATCTGCCTGCCTCAGCCTCCCAAAGTGCTGGGTGGGATTACAGGCATGAGCCACTGCACCCGGCCTGGGTTGTGGGATATTTTATAATAGAATTAGATGAAAAACTGCTTTCAATCAATAATGGTGAAGTAATGATTTACATAGTTGTATGTTTTGATCTGAATCTCAAAATTTTAACAACCTTTTTCTTTGTCATAAAAAATAGTTTTATTTATGGTATCAGGAATAATCCATCTCGTGTATATCAAACTGGTAGTCTAATTATATAGTAAGACATCTACTACCTGTGTTCAAATCCTTGAAGTGCTATTTTAAAACCTCGTTTTTTGCTACTCTTACAAATTAGCTAAAACTTCGAATGATTGGGAAATCTGCTTCCCATGATCCAGAGACCTGGTGAGAGGCATCACAGAAGGCTATTGCAATGCCTTTTTATTCTTAAAGAGGTAAAACATCTAGCTTAAGTGTCAAATTTTGTAAATCACTACTTTACGATGTCATGAATTTTCCATTTTTTTTTTTTAGGAAGTAGATGTGAAGGTGTCCCAGGATTATGAATCTGGAAGAGTTTGAAATAGGTTTATTGTCATTTGACTGATACCCTTATGTATTATTATGGTTAAATAATGTCTTGGTTATTCTCTTTGTTTCCTTCACCTTCACAGCAATTATTGACTTCTTTCTTAAAAGCAGGAGGCTGATGCCTACAGACTACATTCCCTGGATGCCCCTTCTGGAATGCTGGACGTTTGAGGAGCGAGGAAGGAGAGAGAGAGAATCCAACCTGATATCTTTGCTTGTAACTGAATCTCCAAAGGACTGTAGCTCCTGCAGGGTGATCTCTCTCCAAGATCAAGCTCTCAGTGTGCTCTGTGTTTCTCCTCTTGTCCCTTCAAGCCCAGGAGTGGGTAACTGATTGTTGTTGCTAGTTTCTTGATGCCTCTAAATCATTTATATGTTTCCTTAACTCTCCCTTAACTTTGTAATGATTTTTTGTATTAAATTCTCTTTATTTAAACCATCTAATTCAATTTGAATATTGCCTAATACAAATAAATCTCAAGCAGATTAAAATTTTTATTTTCTATATTTAATGACATAAAGAAGGGACTTTCTCAGCAATATTTAGTGACAGGTCATAACCATCATTCTTGCATTAATTCTTAATTAAATCTGAGTTCCTTATGCATCTGTGTAAATATAGAATCTGCTCTCAGAAACTCAATTGCACGCTTACTAAGCATTACTTACTTACTCACTCAGGATCTTTTGTTTCAGCCCAGGTAGCTTAGTTCATTTTATCCTTTCTCTTTTTTATGTATTTTTTGGTTTTAAGATTCTATTTTTGGTTCACTTTTGGGCCAGATATTTCCCCCATTTTTTCCTGTCACCAATAGCAGCTCTTTCTCAAATGGACTGGAGAAATACATTCTGTATTATATATCTATATACATCATTAGATTACTCCTTGTTAATCTACAAGGTTTTGTGGTTATTATTTTATTAGGTTTTCATTTTTATTTATTTGCATATAAACGCTTTAGAATTTTCCACACAAGATCTGTGGACCCCAAAGAGGCTGAATATTACTTCTGATAATGTTATGTTTGTGTTTTAATTTTTGAACATTTTGTATTTTTATGTTTGCACAGGCACATTCCAGATCATTTGAATAAGCCAGTTATAGCCAGGCACTGCCACAGATTTCAGCACTTACTTCATTGTTGCATGAGTACAATAACCCTAAGGACATAATTCCTAATTTTATGTTTGTGTGTAATAAAATAACATCATAGAAACATTTAATCAATGTTGAAGGTCCATGAGAAATGGCATTTTCAATGTTCTGTACAATTTTAAGTGTCTTGGGAAGGATAATGCCCTCAAAGTTTCTAGTTAATATCCAATAAGGCTCTGCATAATAAATAAATGAAGTATTGAACATGTACACAAGTGAATGACGTGTTTTTATATTGCTTTTTAGGAATTAAAATAATTCAAAAAATAATTTTTAATTTCTCTGGTTCAATTGTTTGTTCTTTTTGAGGACTAATTTATACTCGATTTTATTGACCTTAACTGGTGTTCCTTCTAGTTTACTGTTTACTTCAATCTTTAAATATCTTTACTTAAGCTGTTTTTTGTGAGATGATTATAGATTCACATGCAGTTGTAGGATATAATACAGAGGAACTCCATGTGCTCTTTACTTATTTCCCCATAATGGTAATATTTTGGAAAACTAGAGTATAATATCACAAACAAGTAATTGACATTGATACAGTCAAGATACAAAACAGCTTGGGTGCAGTGGCTTATGCCTGTAATTTTAACATTCTGGGAAGCTGAGACAGGAGGATCACATGAGCCCGGGTTGAGGCTGCAGTGAGTCGTGATGGATCACACCACTGCATTCCAGGCTGGGTGACATGACAAGACCCTGTCTCAAAAAAACAAAACAAAACAAAACAAAAAAACCACAAAACATTTCTTTCACCAAAAAGATTCTTAATTCTTGACAACCACTAATCTATTCTCCAACTCTATAATTTTTGTCATCTCAAGAACGTTATATAAATGGAATTTTACAGCATGCAACCTTTTGGAATTGAATTTTCCCACTTAGCATAATTCTCTGTAGATTCATTTATGTTCTTGGGTGTATCAAAAATCTATTTTTTATGACTGAGTACTATTCCATGGTATCAATTATCACAGTTTGATTAACCACTCATCTGTTGAAATAATTTGGGGCCATTTCTAGTTGTTAGCTATTACAAATAAAACTGTTAAGAATATTTATATACAGGTTTTTGTATAAGTTTTCATTTTTCTGAGATAAATGACCAGAAGTGCAATTGCCAGGTTGGTGAGTAGTTGTACATTTAGTTCTTAAAAACTTTCTAAAGAAACTGACAAACAGTTTATCAGCGCGGCTATACCACTTTACATTTCTAATAGCAATGGGTAAGTGATCTAGTTTCTCCACATACTTGCCCGCATTTTGTGCTGTTACTACTTCTAAATTTTTACCATTTTGCTGGGTGTACAGTGATATCTCATTGTGATTTTAATTTGCATTTCCCTAATGGATAATCAAATGTAACATCTTTTTTAAAAATGTTTTAATTTTTAATTTTTGTGAACACATAATAGTTATATGGGGTACATGTGATATTTTGATATGAACATACCCAGTGTTGATCAAATCAGGTTAATTGGAATAGCCATCACCTTAAACATTTATCTTTTCTTTGTTTTAGAAACATTCTAATTCCACTCTTCTAGTTATTTTGAAATATGCAATAAGTTATTTAACATCCTTTCCTGTGCTCGTTTGCCATCCGTGCATCTTTTTTGGTGAAAACTCTGTTCATGTCTTGCAAATTTTCTAATTGAATTTTTTGTTTTTCAGCTGTTGACTTTTGAGAGTTCTTTATATATTCTCAATACTAGTCTTTTTGTTAAATATGTGGTTTGCAAATATTTTCTCCCACCCTGTAGCTTAGCTTTTCATAATATTTCATAGAGCAAATGTTTTAAAATTCAGTGAAGGCCAGTTTATCCTTTTTTTTCTTTTATGAATTGTGCTTTTGGTGTCAAGTCCAGCCTTTAGTCTCAAATATTTTCGCCTATTTTTTTCTAAAATATTTATGTTTTATATTTATTTCCATGATCCATTTTGCGTTAATTTGTATACTGTATAAAGTATGACACTTAGTTTGACCGACCTTCCTTCCTTCCTCCTCCCCCACTTCTCCTCTTCCTTCTTCTTCCCTTCCTCCTCTCTCCTCCTCCTCTCTCCTCCTCCTCTCTCCTCCTTTCTCCTCCTCCTTTCTCTTCCTCCTCTTCCTTCCTTTCTCTCTTTTTCGCTTCCTCTTTCTTTCTTTTCTTTCTCTCCCTCTCTCCCTTCCCTTCCCTCCTCTCCACTTTTCTTTTCCTTTTTCTTTTCTCCTTTTCTTTTCTTCCTGCCTTTGGATGTAGAGTACTTTCAGCATATTTATTGAAAAGGTTATCCTTTCTCCATTGAATCATTCTTACATCTTTGATAAAAAGTATTTCAGCATGTGTCTGGGAGGCTATTTCTGGGTTCTCCATTCTATTTCATTAATCTGTGTGTCTATCCTTCTGTCAATATTATAGTCTTGATTACTACAGCAATATAATCAGTCTTGAAATTTGGTTAATTGATATACTTTTCCTCTTGAAAATTAAAAATTGTTTTAGCTATTCTAGTCCTTTAGTCTATATATATTATATATTTTTATTATATATATACATGTATATATACGTATAGATATATACCTAAAATAAAACTTGGTGGGATTTTTTTTTTTTTTTTTAGAGTCTCACTTCATTGCCCAGACTGGAGTGCAGTCACAGTGTCTCGGCTCACTGCAACCTCTGCCTCCTGGGTTCAAGTGGTTCAAGTGATCCACCTACTTTGGCCTCCCAAAGTCCTGGGATTACAGGCATGAACCACCATTCCCAGCCCTTGCTGGGATTTTGATAGAAATTGCATGAACCCTTTTTATCAATTTGGGGAGAACTGGAACCTTTGCTTTGTTGAGTCTCCCAAATCATGAACATGTTGTCTTTGCATTTGTTTATATCTTCTGTGATTTTTTTTTTTTGGCATTGGTTTTTATTTTTTGGCATACAAGTCCTGGACATGTTTTGTTAGGTTTACACCTACGTATTTAATTTTTTGAATGATTATAGTATTGCATTTTAAATTTTGGTGTCCACGTGTTTATTGCCAGCATACGGAAATACAATGATTTTTATAGGTTTATACTGAGTCCTGAAACCTTGCTGAATTCATTTATTAATTCTAAAAGGTGTTTTGTGGGTCTCTGGAAATTTTCTACATGGATCCTTGTATCATCAGCAAACAGGGACTTTTATTTCTTCTTTTCCAAGTTATTTGACTTTGATTTCCTTTTTCTTGCATTATTGAATATCTAGAAATTTCCAGCAGTGTGTTGAGTAAGAATAGTGAGGACAGACATTCTTTATTGAATTTAATTCTGTTTCTCTTTCTAGTTTATTGAGTTCAAACTTCAAATTGTCTTTACTTCGTAAAGGTGCTGGCCAGTGTTCTTTTTCTTGTGTGTAAATTTGCACACAAGGCTGCAGATGGCGAAATGAATAAGTATGCCTTCCATTCTTGTCTTCAAGTTTCTAAGGACCATATTAAACATTAGTACAAAAACACGTCTTGAGGAACACCATTTGTAAGTCCCCTTGCCCTGGCACAGACAATGCTATGCCCTTTCTGTATAAGGTCAGTTATGTAGGGGTAGTAAAATCGCTGAAAAAAAAACTTCCAGTGGAGCCACAAATGATTATTTTTACCTCAACTGCTTCTACAAGTTGAGGCAGGAAAGGGAAACAGGAGTAAATTTGATAGTATAAAGACAAGAAAAACCACAGAGTAGATGTCCTATTTCTAATGACAGGAAGTTTTTTAGGTTCCATGGAGTCTAGGAATTGTAACATAAACAGGCCGAGGCTCAGAGATTATTCACATTTTGGCTCCATCAACAACCTGGATATTACCCGGGCAAAGATCTTTACCTCTTAAAGTCTAGCTTGATATCTTTAGTTGTAATTTAAGGGTGAAATTGTGTCCAGAATTGCTGGGTTCTTGGTCTCGCTGACTTCAAGAATGAAGCCGTGGACCTTAGCGGTTAGTGTTACAGTTCTTAAAGATGGTGTGTCCGGAGTTTGTTTCTTCTGATGTTGGGACATGTCCGAAGTTTCTTCCTACTGGTGGGTTCCTGGTCTTGCTGGCTTCAGGAGTGAAGCTGCAGACTTTGGTGGTGAGTGTTACAGCTCGTGTATGTGGCACAGACCCAAAGAGTGAGCAACAGCAAGATTTATCACAAAGAGCAAAAGAACAAAGCTCCACAGCATGGAAGGGGAACTGACCACATTGCTGCTGCTGGCTCCGGTGGTCTGAGTTTATTCCCTTATCTGGCCCCACCCACATCCTGCTGATTGGTCCATTTTACAGAGAGCTGATTGGTCCGTTTTGGCAGAGTGCTGATTGGTGCATTTACAAACCTTTAGCTAGACACAGAGTGCTGATTGGTGCGTTTACAAACCTTTAGCTAGACACAGAGTGCTGATTGGTGCATTTACAATCCTTTAGCTAGACACAAAAGTTCTCCAAGTTCCCTATGCAATTAGCTAGACACAGAGCCTTGATTGGTGTGTTTACAAACCTTTAGCTAGACACAGAGTGCTGATTGGTGCGTTTACAATCCTTTAGCTAGACAGAAAAGTTCTCCAAGTCCCCACCTGACCCAGAAGCCCAGCTGGCTTCACCTCTCAAAATTACCTACCTCAGAGAATTAGTTTACGAATTAAATGAGAAAAAGTTGGTCTATATATGGTGTAACTTTTCTGCCACAAAGTAAGTATTCAGTAACAATTTGGTTTTCCTTTTTCTTCCATTATTCTGCTAACCTAAAGTGCTTGACAAAACCTATGGTAGAACTAAGGAACAGAGCGGGTGGCATTTTTTAGAAGGTGTGTGGCTTCTTGTGAAGTGAAGGCAGCAATGCTACACAATGCTTCTATAACAACCCTTTGTTCAACAGAAGGTACAAACCCACACAGCTATTAATATAAACATATTTGTTTGAGAAACTGTTTATATTGTAAAATATGTGTACTGCACATCTTTGGAGATGGATATTTCTTGCACAGTGCATAGAATCTCTTCTATGTGGGAAGAAACAATCTCACATAGAGAATGAGAATCCACAGAACAAGAAAATAACCAACTTGTAACCAAATGAGCACAAATAGAAGATATCCAGTTAGACCCACAACAGGATATTTCCTAATGACTCTAAGATTTACTCTAATGAAGAAAGATTCGTAGTTTACTCCAGAACTGCACTAAAATTATCCTTCAATAAAATCTGTAACTGTTTATTGTGAGTATAACCTTATTGTTTCTAGATTTTGATAAATGACAGATACTGATGAAGAATTTTGTTTGCTTCATTTTATTTTTTTTTTCATTTAACTTTGAAAGTTCTTATGAATTATTCTCTCTCTGTGAAGAGGGCTTGTACCCTTTTGGGTGTGCCACTGGTTATACAATTGTTTATGAGTTGGATTTTTAAAAAAGATTTCACACAGGAAAGACTCAAAATTATTGTAAATGTCAAAGAAGATTATAGTTGGGGTTTACCCCTGAGGAGTATCAGCCTGTCATAAAAAAAGTATTCTTATTTCCTGACTGAAATTATTGCTCCCAAAACAAGGCTGACAGAAGAAAAAGAAAATATGTCTTTCTGGGAGGCTTAAGAGCTGATCTTTGATTCTTCCCTCTTTCAAATTTAATAACGTATTTTTGAACATTCCTGATAAAGAATGATGTGGCAAATCAAGATGCTCCACCTGGCTGTTGCCCTTTTAGTTGGCAGGGGCTGATGAGCTGTGTAATTACATAAGTGTTCTCAACAATACCAGGGGTGCAGTAATGTTTTTCATCTTTTCCATTATTGTACACTTAACTATGAAGCATACACTCATTTGGCATTCTAAGCACTTTTGATTGATTTACACTGTCAGTAGAATTTACAGATTATGCATTCCGAAAGATAAGAGGGAATAGAGTCGTAGGAAAAGTTTTTAGCACAGCTCCTCTTGCCAACATTAATTTTTTTTAGCATTAGTGTGTCTAAGTGTACAGAAGGAAGTAAACATGGATGAATGTAATCCAAATTAAATTGCTGAGGATATTATTTTCCGTTTGGTTTGCTCTGGGCTTATAAGTAATAGTTCTTGATGTATACTTTGAAGTATGTCCTGACTTTTATTAGGGATGTCGAAATAATGTTCAGAAGACTGCATCACATGCTGTTGCATATTCTCTTTGGACATACTACTTTCTTTTTTTGTTCTCCAGCAACACATACAGAATTAAGCCAAGTGAAAAGCAATAAAATGTTGAAAAAATGTAATATGAAATTTGAAGACCAAATATCAGAGGACTATCAATTTCTCTGACTATGAAAATGTTATGTGGTCTAATAAGAAATAATTTGAGATTTCTCACAATCTATTTTAGCTTTACTTACAAATTGGATGTACCTTATGATAGAGGATATTAAAAAAATTGAGAAAGTGTAGGTTTAAAATCAAATTGACTGAGAAATTTGTTATACAGAAATCTCCTACTCCTATTTAACTCACGCTATACATATATCAATAGAGAAAATAAATATTATTTATACTGATTAAATTTCATAATGAAACTGAAAACATAGTTTAAAGTTTGGGTTTAAAAAAGTTCAGCAGGACTTTGCATTACAAAATAATCAAATTCAGCTTTTACATCATATGCATTATTTCATTCATGATTTATAAAAGGTGATTGTGCTATTTTAGGGGTTCGTTGAGCTTTCTAAATAAATATTTAGAATCTCAGAAAGACATGTCTAGCTATCTGAAAAGAAATCAGATTTTTAGAAAACAAAATAACCTACTAGTCCTGAATAGTTTTGTTTTTTTGTTTTTTTGTTTTTTTGTTTTTTTTTGAGATGGAGTCTTGCTCTGTCACCCAGGCTGGAGTGCAGTGGTGCGATCTTGGCTCACTGCAAGCTCCGCCTCCCGGGTTCATGCCAGTCCCGAATAGTTTTTTATTCAGCTTGCATTTTGAGTAAATGTGGAGTTCCTTCATGAAAATTTAGTGTGAAGTGATGTGTATCAACATCAGGTGCAGATGTGTTTCTGATGCAGAGACATCTGTTCAGATCATATGTAAGTCAGTTTCTGAAGAAAATAAATACCCAAATAAAATTAGAATACAGGCATTCTTAGCTAAGGGGTCACTGAGCAAAGATTATTAGGTAGCACACCATAGTTATGCTAAACTATAACCCAACGTGACTTTTCTCTTTGGGATGTAGCTGGTTATTTATTTGACACTTGAGAAGTTTCGCGTGCTGGATGAGCAAAGAATTGTTTTGATTTTATTTGTTACTTTCATATTCACCTATTTTGAACAGAAATCTGTCTTTTTAGGCTACCATATGACTTTTGATTTTAGAATCTAGAGATGTAGTTATTTATATTTTTCCTTCATAAAAGTCCAAAGATAAAAGCCATTAAAGCATTGGCTGACAAAAATATTGACTTACAAGGAATCGTTAGGGTATATTATGCCCGTGTCTAAGTGTCCTGATAAACGTCTGGGGGTTCATGGGAATTCTCCAAAGAGCCTTGTAGAGGAGAGTTACTGGGTTAGGGGGGTGACAGAGTAGGCAGTCATATTGTGGATCCCCTGCTTCGGTTAGGACAATTTCACTTTTATTTCTAGTAATATTCATCTTCAGTGTAGAGCTTTCATGTAAAAAAAAAAAAAGTCCAAATAAAATTTCAGTACAGTACTACTGGCTGAATTCTCAAATTTTCATGCTTTTAAACAAGATATTGACTAGAATTTAATTCAATGCAATTCATCAACAAATCTATTAATTTATGGTGTCTTCTTTGTGGCTCCCACTTTTCTGTGTATTTTAAATTATTCAAAGAAAGAGAAATATACAATATCTTCTATAGTTTAACAATTATTTTTAAAATGGAACAAGAAAAATAAATGACAGTAGAGTTGTTCACTGAACTCTTCTCAAGTAGAAAAAGCTCTTTATTTAGAAACAAACTCAAGGGGATAGGCATAAATAATAGTAGATCATTACTGATTTCTTTTGTCTTGACTGATATGAGACAAAGAAAAAGTTAAACTACTACTCTAAGAAATAGACAGGGATTTAGGGTTGGGTGAGTAGTTAGAGTAGAAGGTTAGAGAAGTAGTCAAGGTTATAATCTAGCAAAAGAAAATACAAATTTAAGAGAAAAAGTTGTGGGATATAAGAAACAGTGGTGAGCAAAAGAGCCAGTAGATTGTATTAAGTTAAAGTAAACATTGATTTATAATTTTAAAAACTATGATCTGAATTTTAAGGAAAAATTAATATAATGTTTGATGTCACAGGGAGGGAATGAGAGGACAAGCCTGGAGAAACAAGTTCTCTTTTTGAAAAAAGACATGATCTTAGATTGGGTTAAAAAATATCCAGTAAAAGCAGACTAAGTAGACTAAACTTAAAGAGAAAGAAAGATTATATAGCACAATTAAGACTCTTGACATAATATATATTACATGCATAAGTATATATGATAACAAATACAAGTTTCTCAAAGACATGTGGAATGGTCTTTGAAAGTATTAGACTGAAGAGAAAAGAAAAGAAAGATTCTCGAAGGAGAAAAAAATAAACAATTTTATATAAATCACATTCTCTGGCAACAATGCCATAAAAAATAATAAAACTAGTAAGTTTCAAACCTGTCTCTAGTAATCTAAAAATTAAAAGTACTAATTACAAACTATTTAAAAATAAAGAAAAAAATTAAAAAACAATAATAAAGAAAAAATAAAAATAAATAATAATACATGTGGCCAAATGGTTCTCAACTGACATTTTATAACTCTAAATGCTCAAAGGAAAAGAATTTAACAAACTAGAAGAAGAATTAAATATACTTAAAGAAAAATTAAAAGTGAAATATTCATTAACAAATTATATTCATTTATAAATTAGAAAATAAAAGCAAATTAGACTTGCTCAATAATACCTAAAATTTGTGCTTTCAAAAAGATTAATAAACCAGAAAAATAAAAAGAATAATGTTTTCAAATCCAACCAAACAAGAGAGTCTGTGCAAATACATGAAGATATCATAGTAACAGAAGGAATGTTAAAAATGTCATCTGATTTTTTGCTGCTTGTAATAAAATCCTATAGGAAAAATAAAATAGGGAGCAAACCATTTAATGTAAAGATACCAAGACTTGTGAATTTAAAAATAAGTAAATGAATCAAACTTTTTTTCTCAGCCTCTTCAGATAGCAAATGCTTCTAAAGTTAAAAAAAATGGCTCTAGTTAAGATAAAATTCAAGGCATTGAAAGGAAAACTTGGTCTAAAGATGAAGCCCTTATTAAGACCCCAGAAGGATTTGAGATGGCATCTCACAGATCCCTTCAAACAGACAAGAGACCCTGTAAGGATCTTAAGAGAATGTTTAGCACAACCTCTCTGTTAAATGGTAGGACTTCTGAGAATCTTAAAGGCGTGTTCCTTCTTCAGGCTCACAAAGCTCCCAGGAAATAACAGTTTCTTTCAAAGATATTTGTGGGTGGATTACAAACTGGCACACAAAACCTCTGAAAGTTTTTAAAAGAATAATACAAGTTTGAACTGAAAGGAACAGGGAGGGAAAAGACAAAAAAAAAAAAAAGAGGTCTTTGGGCTTCCTAACTTTTATGAGTAAGATGCAGGCATAAAAACCTATTCTACTGCAAATATGGGCTGAATTTTATGAAAATGAAAAGATAATCCAGAGATGAACCCAAAAGCCTTTATGGTAGGGCCAGGGAACCACAGTGGACAACTCCCAGGCAGTAATAGGATAAGCCCTGATCAGGGAACTAACATTATGTGCTCCTAGATTTCAGAATTGGTAAGGACTACTGATTCTTGTGAGCCCAGTTGACTCTTGTGGACTTCACACTTTTCCTCTTTAAAAAAGAAAAATTTCATTTCAATAGCTTTTGGTGTAAAGTGGTTTTCGGTTACATGGATGAATTATATAGTGGTGAATTCTGAGATTTTAGCGCACTCATCACCCAAGTAATGTATGTTGTACTCAATAGGCAGTTTTTATCCCACACCCTCCACCTCCCCTTTCTGAGGCTCCAGTGTCCATTATACCACTCTGTGTGTCTTTGTGTATTCATAGCTTAGCTCTCACTAAGTGAGAACATATGGTATTTGGTTCTCCATTCCTGAGTTACTTCACCTGGAATAATGGCCTTCAGCTCCATCTAAGTTGCTGCAAAAAGACATTATTTCATTCCTTTTTCTGGCGTAGTAACATTCCATGGTGTATATATACCACTTCTTTATCCACTCATTGGTCGATGGGCCCTTAGGTTGGTTACACATCTTTGCAATTGTGAATTGGGCTGCAATAAACATACATACTTTCACCCTTTTTAAATGGGTGCGTGCAAAGTGGTTGTCCTACCCCTATCTCACCACTGTGTGTTGAATATTTGTTTTTCTTTATTTTAAAAATCTTTAATTGATTGAAACTATACTCATTGAGCTGAACCTAAGGAACTATACCTGAGCCTTATCCACACTTCAACCTGATTAATTAACAAGATCCTGGATTTTGAGCTGATTATAATGTGATAATACTTATGGGTCTTGAGAGAAGAAATGAGTACATTTCCCACATGGAAGGGATGTAAATTGTGGCCAGAAGGTAAACTGTGGCAGATTGTATTTTCCTAAAATTGCTCTATATTTATATTTAGTTATTTACTGTATTGTATTAATCACACGTGAATTTCTTACACAGCAACACTGATATTCTTCCCATCAAGACTGGGGAGGTTGAGACTCTATTACTTCCCCTTAAATATGGGTGGGAACTATGGTTGAACTGACACTATTTGACTTCCATGGTCATGTCATAAAAGCATCTCCTTGAAATGCTTACTTTTACAACAAAGCCACCATAGTGTGAGGAAGCCTAGGCCACCTGGAGATATAAGTAAGAAAGAATGCCCCAGTGACTAAAATATGAGGGAAAATAAGGGATTACATTTTGGTGGAGAAATTTCACAAAGTAGGCTAGGTATAGAATATTTAGGGAACAATGTCATAAAGAACCTACCATATAATATGCTTAATTATTTTTAATATATGTGAATATTATATAAACAGTTATCTGATTTCAATATCTCAAATAGGAAAGATAAGTCAATATATGCACTTGAATTTAATTATACAATGATCATTTAAACCACATAGCCCAGGAACAGAGGCTCACAGTGGTTTTCAACCAAAACTAGAGAACAGAATCATTTTCCTCCCTCTCTTAACCAAGGCCCTTACTTGAATCACCTCAGCACCTTCTCCTTCTCCCAGCCTATACCCTCTATGTTTTCTTAGCCCCCCATTAAGCATAGATATGGTTTGGTTCTGGGTCCTCACCCAAATCTCATGCCAAATTGTAATCGCCTTGTGTTGCAGGAAGGGCCTGGTGTGAGGTGACTGAATAATGGGACAGACTCCCCCCTTGCTGTTCTGAGAGTGAATGAATTCTCACAAGATCTGATGGTTTTGAAAGGGTGTGGCACTTTCTATGGCTCTCGCTCTCTCCTGCCACCACGCGAAGAAGGTGAATGATTCCCCTTTGCCTTTGGCCATGATTGTAAGTTTCCTGAGGACTTCCAGTCATGCTTCCTGTTAAGCCTGTAGAGCTGTGAACCCATTAAACCTCTTTTCTTCATAAATTACCCAGTTTCATGTAGTTCTTCACAGCAGCGTGAAAACAGACTAATACAGCATGCAAATAATAAATATTGATTGAAGACATGAACAAACCTCCCTAGCACATTGGCAGGTGCTCTCCTAGGTGCTAGAATTACACACTTGAATAACCAATGATTTTTGGTCATTCACCAGATTGTTGACTATCTCATTTCATCAGATTGTTGACTATCTCATTCTTTCAGCAGAATCTATTTTGGGGATTTTTGTCTTTTTCTGGATTGCCTTTTTAGCTCTTTCAACTATTTCCTCAACATTGTTTCAACAATGCATGCCAACTCAGTTTTCTTACAAAACTTTTCTTAGAAGGATAGGCAAAGATTTCTCCTAAATTACTTTATTAAAATGTATATATAATCAACTTAAAAAAATTATTCATTTTTCTCCTTAGAAAATACTTGGATTTACTGGTTGTTAAATAACTTATTTATTTTATATATTTATACAAATAAAATTTATTTTGCAGTATCTATTTCATTGTATCTAAAAATAAGTGAGTAATATAGTCATTAAGGCTAATTAAAAGTAATTATATATTGTAACAAGTGAGACCTTTCCCACAAAAATTTCAGATCTCAAGATTTTAACCTTCTGCTAATTATGCTGTATAGATTAGAGAAATACTTTTATTTTAACCCATGCCATGTTAAAATGGTCATGAAATAGACAATCTAAATATAAAATAGAATGCTTTATTTTCACTGCTTTCAAAGATAGGTTTTTTGTTTTTTTTTTCTTTTTTGAGATGGAGTCTCACTTTGTCGCCCAGGCTGGAGTGCAGTGGCGTGATCTCGGCTTACTGCAAGCTCCACCTCCCGGGTTCACGCTGTTCTCCTGCCTCAGCCTCCCGAGTAGCTGGGACTACAGGCGCCCACCACCACGCCTGGCTAATTTTTTGTATTTTTTTTTCTCCGTAGAGACGGGGTTTCACCGTGTTAGCCAGGATGGTCTCGATCTTCTGACCTCATGATCCACTTGCCTCGGCCTCCCAAAGTGCTGGGGTTACAGGCGTGAGCCACCGTGCCCAGCCTCAAAGATATGTTTTGAAGCAACCCTGAAATACAATGGTTTATCTTCACATGAAGCATGATTTAGAAGGTTAGAGAAGTGAAATATTTTTCAAAATAAGAATTTGTGCTTTTTTACTTTTATTTTATTTTATTTTTTGAGACAGAGTCTCACTCTGTCGCCCAGGCTGGAGTGCAGTGGCACGATCTCGGCTCACTGCAAGCTCCACCTCCCAGGTTCAGGCCATTCTCCCGCCTCAACCTTTCGAGTAGCTGGGACTGCAGGCACTCGCCACCACACCTGGCTAATTTTATTTTTTGTATTTTTAGTAGAGATGGAGTTTCACCATGTTAGCCAGGATGGTCTCGATCTCCTGACCTCGTGATCCACCTGCCTCGGCCTCCCAAAGTGCTGGGATTACAGGTGTGAGCCACCGTGCCTGGCCTCTTTTTTACATTCTTTATGGATATGATATGGAAATTATATTTATAAATAATATAATCCCTGGTGAATAATACTCTCAGAGTGGGTGGGCTTTAAGCACACACTTTCCCTGTGGTAAAGTACCACTGCTTTGCTTTTCACAGAAAACACAAAATAAAAAGTGTTCAATAGTTGTTTTAAAATGTATTCCCATGTTATACAATGACAAAGTGGATTTATAATTTTACTAACACAAAATAGTAGGCTGTGTTATGAAATTATCATAAGGGAGTCAACACAGTAGAGTGGCTAAGGCCCAGATGCTGGAACCAGACTTTGTGGATTCTAGTTCTGGCTCTGCCAGGTACCAGCTAAGGATCTTGAGGAAGTTACTAAGCCTTTCTGCAAATGAAATAAAAACATGGCCTACCCTACAGACTAATAGTGATGATTAAATGAGCTCATATAGGTAAAGCCTTTAGAGCAGTATCTGGCACATTGAAGGGGATTAAGAATAGAGTCTTTCTGTGTGTAGTCGTTGTAATGTATTGAAACAAAATTTCAGTACCAACCATTTGGTACACAGAAATCTAATTTTTCCAGAAAGATGGTAAGAATTTTGTACAAAGGTTTTTTTTTTTTGTTTTTTTTTTTTTTGGTGACAGAGTCTTGCTTTGTCACCCAGGCTGGAGTGCAATGGTGCGATCTCAGCTCACTGCAACCTCTGCCTCCCGGGTTCAAGCAATTCTCCTGCCTCAGCCTCCCGAGTAGCTGGGATTACAGGTGCCCACCACCATGCCTAATTTTTTATTTTTAGTAGAGATGGGGTTTCACCCCGTTGGCCAGGCTGTTCTCAAACTCCTGACCTCAGGTGATCTGCCCACCTTGGCCTCCCAAAGTGCTGGGAATACAGGCATGAGCCACCATTCCCTGCCCATAAGTTTTTTGTTTTTTGTTTTAAGTTTTAAGTGCCTTTCTCCAGCTCTACTTACAGCTCTATATCTCTCTCTCTGCCTCTCCAGGCGTACATGCTGTAACCTCCTTTATATCTTTTAATTTATTATGGCTGCATGTGATCAATGGATTTATACCTAAATATTTGTATTTATAAATTTATACATACCTATCTATTTGTGTTACAGAACTTTTAGTCAGTAATGTTTCTCAGAAATACTTTCCTAGGCTATTATTTTTTGTTAGTTTATAGGATTTTGACATAGAAATCTTTTTAATGGCCCTATTTTGACTATGGTTTTCTCAGCATATTCTTTAAGGAATACGTAAAAATGATGAATTTTGGTTACCACAGCCTCCAGGCATGGTGTTACTTCATCATTCTACTGTTTTCTAAGAGATTGCCTTTGGAGAAAAACAAATGTTCAATTATCCCCAGAGACATTTAAATTGCTGAAGGTACACAACTTTGCAGCCTTGCTTATCTAGTTGTGTGGGCCCGCATGTGAAGGGGAGAAGCCAGAGAATATTCATGGGCAGGCTTTGCTCACTCTTTGTCACACCCTTCTCCATTGAGGGTGGGAAGAGTGAAAAATGCTGAAGTTTAGGCCCCTCTTGAAAGGTGGCTGTGCTATAATATGTGTGTGTATGTATACAAACTGACTGATTCCTCTTATAATAAATATCTGTGCATCAATGTATCAGTGTTCCTGTTTATCTCTCTTTAAGATGGAGTATAAGACTTGTGTCCAAGGTTCCAAATGTAAAGGGTCTTATTTTATGTGGTGGACACCTACTGCCTGGACTATGCAGCACCACCCTGTTTATTCTGGCAATGCTGGTTCTCCCTTTTCTATGTAATTTCCACAGAACCTTCCATGTGTTTATTTAACTTTGCTCCTGCAGCCGCATTTTATTTTCTAGGGCCAATAAATCACCCAATATAGGTCTGGAGGCTCTTCCCAGCCTTTATGTACCAGGGGCTAAGAAACAGGCAGGTCAGAATCTTACCGGTAGCTGAAGCTAGAAAATGTAAAGCACTAAAGCTATCAGAGGACCCACTTCTTTTTTTTTGTAATATAGTGATGAACTTGAACTCCTGGCCTCAAGCAATCCTTCCACCTTGGTCTCCCAAAGAGCTATAAGCTATAAGCTATAAGCCACTGTACCCAGCAAAGGCCCCATTTCAACATGCAGAGCAAGTCAGTGTGCAATGAAGGGAGAGATACTTTACTTATGGTAACACTGGTAATGTCCTGATTGCTGTTAAGTTCCCAATTTCAGTAATGCCTGAAGCCCTACTATATCCTTGTTCTTTGTGGCCAGATTCTTTAACTTTCCCTTGGATTGAAGTAGACTCCCCCAAATCCTTCTTCTTGTTAAAGTAGCTTGAATTGGAGTCACAGGAACAATTGTCCAGAAGCCTGTAACAATTAATTCCCACTGGAGCAGGAGATGAGGATACCCTGCTGGCAATGAGCATTTTATTTCTCTCGCTTTAATAATTTGTAATGGTTTTAATTTACATTTATTTAACTACCAGTGAGGTTAGATTTTTTTCATATGCTTATTAGCCATTGGTATTTCTCTTTTATATATTGATATAGTTTGGATATTTGATCCCACACAAAACTCATGTTGAATTGTAATCCCTGGTGCTGGAGGTGGGGCCTCGTGGGAGGTGTTTGGGTCATGGGGGCGGATCCTTCAATGACTTGGTCCTGTCTTTGTGAGAGTAAGTTCTTGTGAGACTGGGTCATTTAAAAGTGTGTGTGGCACCTCCCCCATCACTCTCTCTCTTGCTCCTGCTCTTCCATGTGAGACACCTGCTCCCACTTTGCCTTCTGCCACGATTGGAAGTTTCATGAGGCCTCCCCAGAAGCTGAGAAGATGCTGGTATGCTTCCTGTACAGCCTGTAGAACAGTGAACCAATTAAATTTATTTTCTTTAGAAATTATCCAGTCTCAGGCATTTTTTAATAGCAATGCAAGAATGGCCAAATACATGTATGTTGGTTAGTATTTTTATTACTAATTCACTCTTTCTTTAACTTGTAGAGGCTTTTTACACTTTTGTACATAATTTCTAATTATAAAAGCAATACTTGATCATTGTAGAGAATTTATCAAACCTGGAAAAACATGGAGAATAAATATTAATATTTTGGTGTATGTCCTTCTAAGTGTTTTCAGTTCCAAACCACCTCTTTAAGTATCACAAAATTGAGGTCACACTGTTTGCTGTGACCTGCTTTGTAGAACATTTACAGTTTTCTACATATTAGATTATATCACCTATGAACAGAGATCATTTTACTTCTTCTTTCCAGTGGGAATGGCTTTCATTTCTTTTTCTTGACTAATTGTTCTGGCTGGGACTTTCAGTACTATGTTGAAGAAAAGGGATGAAAGTAGGCATCCTTGTTTTGTTTCTGATCTTAGAGAAAAAGCTTTCAGTCTTTCACCATTGAGTATGATGCCTGCAGTGGGTTTTTCATATATGACTTTTATTATGTTGATATAGTTTCTCTCTGTATTAGGTTGCTCTGCCTGCCTTAACAAAATGTCATAAACTATGTGGCTTAACAAACAGAAATTTATTTTCTCACAGTTCTGGAGACTAGAAGTATGATATCAGAGTGCCGGTATGGTCAGGTTCTGGTGAGGACTCTCTTCTTAGCTTGCAGGTATTGCCATTTTACTGTGTTCTCACATAGTAGAGAGAAAAGGCAAGCTCTTTGGTGCCTCTTCTTATAAAGTCACTAATCTAATCGTGAAGGCCTCATCTTCATGATATCATCTAAACCTAATTATCTCCCAAAGGCCCCGTCTCCAAATGCCATCATATTGGGGATTAGGGTTCAACATATGAATTTTGGGGGAACACAATTCAGGTCACAGCACCTTTTACTCCTCATTTTTTGAATGCTTTTATTATAAAAGTTTGAATTTTTCAAATGCTTTTTCCACATCAATTGAGATGATCATGTGATTTTTTTTTCTGAATTCTGTCAATGTGGTTTGTTACATTGATTGAATTTTGTATGTAGAACCATCGTTGCATTCCCGAATAAATTCTACTTGCTCATGGTGTATAATCTTTATAACATGCTGCTGAATTTTGTTTGCTAGTGTGTTGTTAAGGATTTTTGCATTAATATTCAAAAGGGTTATTGGTCTGTAGTTTTCTTTTCTTGTCATTTCTTTGTCTTGCTTTTGTATCAGGGCAAGGCTGATATAGAAAGAGTTGGGAAGTGTTTTCTCCGCTTTGGTTTTTTTAAGAAGTTTGGGAAGAGGTGATGTTAGCTCTTTACATTTTGGGTAGAATTAACCAATGAAGCCATAAGATACAGAGCTTTTCTTTGTTGGGAGGCTTTTGATCACTAATTCAATATCCTTACTTTTTATAGATCTCTTTAGATTTTCTATTTATTTGTATTTCGGACTTGGTTTTGTATTTCTAAGCATTTGTCCATTTCATCTAGGTTACTCAGTTTGTTGGCATACAATTATTCATTGTACTCTTGTTATGGTTTGGTTCTGTGACCTCATGAAATCTCATGTCAAATTGTAATCCTCAATGTTGGAGGTGAGGCATGGTGGGAGGTGTTTGGATCATGAGAGTGGTCCTTCATGAATGGTTTAGCACCATCCTCTTTGTGCTGTTCTCATGATAGTGTGAACAGCACACTATCTCATGAGATTTGGTCATTTATAAGGGTGTTACACCTCCCCCCACCTCTTCCTCCTGCTCTGGCCATGTAAAGTGCTGGCACCCCCTTCACTTTCCACCAAGACTGTAAGTTTTCTGAAGCCTCCCCGGAAGCAGTTGCCTCCATGCTTTCTGCACAGCCTGCAGAACCATGAGCTATTTAAACCTCTTTTTAAAATAAATTACCCAGTCTCCGCTATTTCTTTATAGCAATGCGAGAATGAACTAATACAACTCTAATACAAATCTTTTTATTTCTGTAAAATCGGTAGTAATATCTCCACTTTCATTTATGATTTTACTAATTCGAGTTTTCTCTTTTTTTCTTAATCCAGCCAAAGTTTTGCCAAATTTCTCTTTTTGAAGAACCAATTGCATTGGTTCCATTGATTTTCTCTATTGATTCTCTAATATGTTTTTCTAGCGTTTTAGTTTGTATTTTTATTATTTTCTCTATTGTTTTTCTTTTCTGTATTTCATTTGTTTCTGCTGCAACCTTTATTGTTTCCATCGCTCTGGTAGCTTGAGTTTAGTTTGTATTTCTTTTTCCAGTATTTAAGTTGTAAAGTTAGGTTGTTGATTTGAAATATATATTTTTTTAAATGTGTTTACACCTGTAAGTTTCCCTTTTAGTACTGCTTTTGCTGCATCTCATAAGTTTTGATATGATGTGTTTTTGTTTTCATTTATCTCCAAGTAGTTTCTCATTTCCATTGTCCTTGCTTCTTTGATCCATTTGTTATTAAAGTTGTGTTGTTTAATTTCCAAGTTTGTGAATTTTTCAGTTTTCTATTATTCATCTCTAACTTCATTCCATTGTAATTGCAGAAAACACTTTGTATAACATCTATTTTTTAAATCTATTGGAAGATGTAATTTGTGATTTGACTTGTAGTTTACCCTAGAAAATCTCCCATGTGTACTTGAGAAAAATGTGAATTTCTTCTCAAGGAATTGGATACAATGTACTGTTATATCTGTTAGATCTAGCTGGTTTATTGTGTTGTACAATCTTTGCTTGCTTATCTTCAGTTTGGTTGTTCAATCCATTACAGAGAGTAGGTATTGGTACTCTCAATAGGTAGAACTTCCAGCTATTATTGTAGAATTATCTCTTTCTCCCTCCAATTCTGTCAGTTTTTACTTCATATATTTTGATGGTCCGTTATTAGGCATATAAATGCTTATAATTGATATAGCTTCTTGCCATATTGATCCTTTTATTATTGTATAATGTCCTTTTTTAAATAACTTTTTAAACTTAGAATTTATTTTTTGTGATATTAGTATAGCTGCTTTGCCCCTTTTTGGTTACTATTTGCATAAAATATCTTTTTTAATGCTTTCACTTTCAACTTATTTGTGTCTTTGGATCAAAGTGATTCTTACATACAGCATATAGTTGGATCATGCTTATTTATCCATTCTGCCACGTTCTGTCTTTTGACTGAAAAGTTTAATCTAGTTACATTTAAAGTAATTACTGATAAGGAGGGACTTACTTCTGCCATTGTGGTATTAGTTTGCTACATGCATTATAGCTTTTTTATTTCTCATTTCCTGCATTACTATTGTCCTGTGCAATTAGTTATTTTCTTGTCATGAAACATTTTAATTCCCTTCTTATTTTCTTTTGTGTATATTCTATAACTATTTTATTTGTGGTTACCTCAGGATTACATTTAATATCCTAAAGTTATAACTTTAATTTATACCAGCTTAACTTCAATAACATAAAAAACTCTGCTCCTTCACAGTCCTATTCCCACCCCTTCCAGTTATTGATGTTACAGAATTACATCTTTATATGTTGTTTTGAAAAACATAAACTAACAATTAGTTTTTGTTAACACATTAGTTTCTTAAATTATGTAGAAAATAAAACATGGATTTACAAATCTAAGTTATAATAATACTTAGAAACAATTAGCCCATAATAACCTTTAAATCATATAGAAAAACAGTCAAGAGTAAAATTACAAATCATTGTTAAAATAATACTAACTTTCATGATTACCCATGTGTTTATCTCTATTGGGGTCTTTAGTTTTTCATATGGCTTAGATTTATTGTCTAGTGTACTGTCATTTCAACTTGCAAGACTTCCTTTAGCATTTTTGTAGGGCAGGTCTAGTAGTAAATCCTCTGAGTTTTGATTCATCTGGGTATGTCTTAATATCTCTCTCACTTTTGAAGGACAGTTTTGCTTGGTATGGGATTCTTGGATTACAGAAAAAAAAAAAAGCATTGGTCCTTTAAATCCACTAGAAGTTTCTTCAGCCCTAGTGAGAGGGGTACAACAATGTCTGCCTGCCTCTGTGTGTGCACTTCCATTATCAGAAGCAGCAATCAGATTCCTGATATTTGGAAGACAAGGTCCTTATTTTTAACCCTAGCTCTCACAAATTATGTGTAAGTGCCTCGGGAACACATGTGTGGATGCTGGCTACGGGGCTGGGAGGTAGAAGATGCATTGCTGCTGCTGCTACTCCTACTGCTAAAAGCTGAAATTAATTAAAACTAACCACAATTTACTGTCCAAGCCGTCCCCTGACAGTTACAAGGCATCAGTAGACTCTACACTTCCAAAATTTTACATCAGACAGATTCTGCCAGTGCAAATAGTACATGGTCCGTAGTATTTGTTGGAAACATTTTTCTAATTTTTCAATATTTGTTAGAAGATTTTTGATACGCATATATTATAAAATTATTTACATGCAAATTGTTTTCTTTTTTTCTTTCACTGATTTTAATCTTAGAAAGTCCCTCCTCATCTTAAAATTAGTCAAATGTTTACCCACATACTTTTTTCTAATTTCTATCCTTTAAAAACTTTTAATGTTTCAAATCATCTAGAGTTAATATTGACAGAGTGTAAGGTTAAGAGCTAAATTGATTTGTTCATGCAGCTAGCAAATTATCATGCACATTTGTTTAATAATCTTTCCTTAACATAGTATTCTCTTTGTGTCACATGCACACATACATACACACACACACACACACACACACACACACACACACAGTCTCTTTTCTTATTATTCTTGTACTTAATATTAATGTGATAATCTCATATTCTTAATTGGTACACTTATTTCTGTTCTTTGAGTGGACAGATTAGGAAAGGAAAGTTTGGAATTATATCTACTATTTTGGGAAGCTTAATAAATATAAGCACTACATGAATTTTTCATTGACAGTTGACCTTGTTGTTGTCCATCAAATACTTTTTTTTTCTCTCTTTCTCACTAGT
The DNA here is from genome assembly GCF_000001405.40 of Homo sapiens. NCBI lineage: Eukaryota > Metazoa > Chordata > Mammalia > Primates > Hominidae > Homo > Homo sapiens. Next base: position 122,083,310 of record NC_000006.12, on the reverse strand, counting down.
GGTCTCTCTAACAATGCCTTGTTTCTTAAAGTATATCACCCCATCTTCTCTGATGTCAGTTTTACCTCTAGATTCCACCTCTCCAATGTTCTTCCTTGGTTTTCCTTTTAGTAGCTTATCCTATACATGGTGCTTAGGATTCTAACATCAGGCTTATTTTTAAATTTCCTAATATATATTCTTTCCAAATGACCCCCCTGCTTAATTATTTGATGATCAATTAAACTCACATACGTTTATTTTCATCCATATCTTATTCCCCTGAATTCCAAAACCATGCATCTAATTTTCTACAAACAATTCCACTTGGCTGTGCTATAGATGCACGAAGCTAAACTTTCCAAAGATTACTTTTCATTGCTCCTCCAATGCTTTTGATATGGGAGTGCTGAAAGGGGAACAGCGTGGTCCCTTTAAATGATACAGAAGTGGGGAAGGGAAGTGCTAGATAAAGGCAGGTCCCTGGCTAGGGCCCCACCCCCACGGACCTAAGCGAGGAATGCACTCCTGCATTCCTGCCCAATTGTTGCATTTTCTAAGACCACCCTGGCCTGTCACTACCCCATTGTGGGCTTATAAAAACCAGATGCCCTAGCGGGCAGACACACAGGCGACCAGACTTGGAGAGGAGCACATCAACGAAGAAGACACAAGCGGTGGGTGGCGAGAGGACATCAAGGGAGCACGCTGGCGGAAGAGCACTCCAACAGATGCCAGCACTCCAACAGATGCCAGCATGCCAGCAGAGCACCAACCTGAAGGACAAGGCGGAGTTTGGCCTAAGCAGTCGGAGGAGAGCCAGGGCAACTCCACGGGAAACCATTTCCCTTGTGGTGCCCCCCCTCAGCAGAGAGCTACTTCCACTCAATAAAACTTTGCACTCATTCTCCAAGCCCACGTGTGATCCGATTCTTCCGGTACATCAAGGCAAGAACCCAGGATTCAGAAAGTTCTCTGTCCTTGTGACAAGGTAGAGGGACTAATTGAGCTGGTTAACACAAGCCACCTATAGACGGCAAAATAAAAGAGCACCCTGTAACACATGCCCACTAAAACTTCAGGAGCTGTAAACATTCACCCCTAGACACAGCCTTGGGGTCGGAGCCCCACAGCCTGCCTGTCTGCATGCTCCCCTAGAGGTCTGAGCATCAAGGCACTGGAGAAGGGAGCCACACCCCCATTCCTTGCCTTTGAAGGGGACAAGGGAATTCTTCCCGTTTCACTTTCTCTCTTGCAAACCTGTTTCTCCTCCTGTACTCTATGTTGTCCTTGATACCCAAACAAGAAACCTAGGAACCACATTAGATTCATTAGATTCTTTCTTTTCCCTTTGTCATCCCATCACATTTGCCAAGCCTTAATATCCGCTTCCACTGCCTTGGTTTACGTATTAACTTTTACCTGAATTTTTTCAGTAAACTCATTACTGGTCTCCTGCCTTTACTTTCTGCCTTCTCAAATCCCCACATTGTAGAGTAGCATCAGGATAAATAAGCTTAATGGCTTCCCTTCCCCATGCCCCAAAATAATTTCACTATTAAAACATCTTTGTATCATGTCCAAAGGCAGAGCCTTGAGAAAAAAGGTTACAATCTGACAACGTAATACTCTGCAGGAAATAACGGACAAAGAACATCCACAGTTATGTCTATCTTTTTTTTTTTTTTTTTTTTTTTTTTGAGTTGGAGTCTCACCCTGTCACCCAGGCTGGAGTGCAGTGGCGCGAGCTTGGCTCACTGCAAGCTCTGCCTCCCGGGTTCACGTCATTCTCCTGCCTCAGCCTCCTGAGCAGCTGGGACTACAGGCGTCCGCCACCACGCCCGGCTAATTTTTTGTATTTCTGGTAGAGACAGGGTTTCACCATGCTAGCCAGGATGGTCTCGATCTCCTGACCTCATGATCCACCCCCCTCGGCCTCCCAAAGTGCTGGGATTACAGGGGTGAGCCACTGCGCCCGACCTATTTCTATCTTGAAGAACAATTTGTGATGCTTACAATTTTTCAAGGGAAAAGATAAAAAATAGTATCTAAAAATTAGTTGTGTAAATGTGATTGGAATGCACTTCAGCTAATTTGCGGGGAGAAGGTATATTGTAACCCGGGATGCGCGCTTTGATGTCCTTCCTGTCTAGTGCCCTGGGAAACTTTTCTTGCTTTTTGAGTAATTTTTCTAAAATGCAAATCTAATGATGCCTCTCACTTGCTTTAAAATTCCAATTACACACAACACCACAAAAGGCCCTTAGAATCAGACTCCCTCCTCACTCCAGTCTCATCTTCTGCAGCTCTGCCATGCTCAGTGAACATCAGCACATTTACACCTTTTTAAAAAGTCTCTGAATGAGTCATATTATTTAAACTCTTTTTTGCTCACCTGGTCACTATTCTAGCTCTTCTTTGTTTACTTGTCTTTTAAATCCATCTAAAGTATCTCTCTTCCTGAAATGTCCCAAGTTCTTCACAGGTTAGAACTAGAGTAGTGGATGAGCACAGTCAGGTTGGGATTGAATACCATCTTTTAACATGAAACCTTAGTTTTCTAATCTATGTAGTCATACATAGTCATACATCACTTAGTGACTGAGACATCTTCTGAGAAATTCATTGGTAGGTAATTTTGTTCCTGAGGAATATCATAGAGCGTACTTACGCAAACTTTGATGGTATATCCTAGGCTGTACACACCTAGGTTATAGGGTATAGCCTGTTTCTCCTAGGCTACAAAACTGTGCAGCATGTTACTGCACTGAACACCATAGGCAATTGTAACACAATGGTAAGTATTTGTGTATCTAAACATAGAAAATGTACAGTAAAAATACAATATTATAATCTATGGGATATCATTGTATATGTGGTCCATTGTTGATTGAAATATCATTATGTGGTGCATGACTCTAATTAGCACCTAGTTGTACTATATAGGTCACAAGAACCTTAGGAAAAGCACAGTATTTGGCAAATATTAAGTATTCTAGCAATTAATATGTAAATTGAGAATTTTTGGTATAAATCTTAAGCTTTCTGAGTTGTTATTTGGCATTTAATTCATTTTTTCCCTGCAAAATTTGTGAAAAACTGTAGGCTCCCGAGAAAAGCATTAACAGCATGATCTAGGAAACAAACCCTCTTTGCTCATATGGAAACTATCTCCTTCTGACCTCTTTATTTACTGAAACCTAATAGGGCTACATCACATCTGAGGCTGCTTTTTGTAAACTGGCTGATTTTAATCCATTTGGCTTCAGAGTATGACCTAGAGTGTTTTTATAGCTCACATTGAGAATGTTTTTACTGAATTCTTGTACAACATGAGCTATATAAGTCCTGTGAGTTCATCGAGAGGTTACCACTACCTTCATGCCATTATTTTATTTTGTTTTTTTTGGTGGGCGCATATTGTGGGTGAGTTCTATACCTAAAGTGCAATTCTTTACACCTGCACATTTTAAGAAATAATGCTTAGAGTAGTAGTGTTTGGGCTCTAGATTCAGAATGCATAGGTTCAAATTCAGCTCTGCCACTTACTAGTTTTTCGACATTATACAAGTCTCTTTATTTTCCAAAAATCTATTTTCCATATATAAACTAGTGATAATAGCAGGATAGTTAGGAGGATTAAAAAATATGATTTATACTAAATATTTATCTCAGTACAAGGGGATATCCCAGTGCCAAGGGAACCAACCAAGTGATTAGAGGGTTGGGGCTTTCAGCTCTGTTCACTGACCTCCCAGGAGGGTAGAGAGAGTGGAAGTTGAGATCTGAGTGATATGATTTTATTGTCAGATAATTTTAGTTTGAGCTATGTTCATGAAACCAGGAACTATGTCTTATTTATTTTTGCATCCCACACATCAATAAATTTCTTAATGAAATAGTCTATATGCTTTGTCTCACTTTCCACTTGCCCCTCACACAACCAGAATTTAGTATCTGTTCTCATCATCTTACTGAAATTGAAAATACTTTACTGATCTCTGGTCCATTGTTGATTGAATTAAATTATCAGCAATTAACACTAAATTAATATTTTATTATTAAAAATAAAAATCAACTTGCCCACTCTACTAACCTTTATATACTTAATTAGTGGACAACATTAAAGTGAGAACTCAATGACAAACTTATTTCCATTTTTTCTTGAGATCTAGACATTACCATGTAGAGGTTAATGACTGTTAAACAGTATATTGTTAGCACTTTCACACTTAAAAACTATTCACCTTCACTTAGATACACATTTAATTATCATTTATCTTTTATTCCAGATACAAGCATACATATTTCAGTTAGGGAGAACAGCTAAAACAGGATTACTTTTGGTGGATTTTCTAAAGAATTTCTCATGAAGAAAGAACACAATAATGTCTGGAGATCTGGTAAAAGTCTAAGTCTACAAACACATAATTTAAACATATTTTGTCTTCTACAGGGAACTATAAAATTGCCACACACCCTTAATCCTCCCATTTATCATGCATAATATGCTGGTAACTTTCTTAAAATCTAATCGAGTACATTTGTCCAGGCACTGCACCATGAGATTCACACATATTGCCTCATTTATCCTCTCAGCAATCCTGGGTATCCAGCATTAGGACTATCATCTTTACAGATTAGAAAACAGACTCAGAGCTTAAGCTGCATGCTCAGAATCACAGGAGTTGTGAGCGGCAGCAGGCTTAGAACCCGTATCTCACTGATTCTAAAGCTGATGTCTTTTCCATCCTACTTTTCAAACGTATTTGTTATGGCCTCAAAGGCCTTCAACCTTGAGTATCAGTACTCTTAGGGGTGCCCACAGACTTTCCAAGGGGTTCTTTGTATGTTTCCGGGATGCATTTGTGGTTAAGAGTGTGATGTGGATTCTACTTGTTGCATCCACTTTCACACCTACTATTAGAGAAAGGAGAAAAACCAAGCGCCTTTTCTACGCTCACACACCACTCAACACAGCACTTCTGACATGGTTTATTTCCCCTACCTACCAAGCACATCTCCAGCAGACACCAAGTGGGTGTACTATAATTTAACTAGATTTTGGACTATCTACCTAGAAATAAAGTCAGATGTCTCAGGTTGAGGGCTCAGTCCCACAAGACTGCCCCCACTTCAGATGCCAGTTGCAAGCCCTATGTTGTGACCTGTGCTTCTGACTGGCCAGCTATAAATCAGGGTTCCCATGACCCTCTCCTCAGATTCAATTAATTTGCTATAGCAGCTCACAGAACTCAGGGAAACACTATTAATATTTATCCAGGGACAGAGGCCACCATATATTCCTTATTACATCACAATACACAATATCATATCTACCATTCTTCCATTTTAAAAAGGAAGACATCCTAACCTTTAATCTTGCCGTGAAGCATTGTCCTAGAGAATATATATATTTTTAAGCAACTTTATGGTGACAAAGAGAGTTTTCAAAATATTTGTTTCTGGAAAGCATCATTTAGTCAAGGTGCCCATCTGTGTCTGATATATTTTTCATGAAAGAGGAACTGAAAACTTTCACATTAGATTCTGATGAATTTGTGTTAAGCCTGTAAGTGTAAGAAAAAAATAATCTAACTTAATAATCTGTAAAAGCTAGCATTTATAGTGTAAAATAATGTACTATATTTTCTTCAACTTTTTTCTTACTTGTAGAAGAAACTATTTATTAACCATATTTTTCTTTCTTTCTTTTTTTTTTTTTTTTTTTTTGAGACAGTCTTGCTCTGTCGCCAGGCTGGAGTGCAGTGGTGCGATCTCGGCTCACTGCAATCTCCACCTCCTAGGTTCAAGCGATTATCCTGCCTCAGCCTCCCAAGTAGCTGGGACTACAGGCGCACGCCACCACACCCAACTAATTTTTTGCATTTTTTAGTAGACACAGGGTTTCACCATGTTGGCCAGATGGTCTCGATCTCCTGACCTTGTGATCCACCTGCCTCGGCCTCCCAAAGTGCTGGGATTACAGGCATGAGCCACTGCGCCTGCCAACCATTTTTCTTAACATGGGCAAAAGTCTTCTGTTCATGGTGACTCCTCACTACTTTTCTCCTTATTTATACATATGATGTAACAATGATGACTAATACGCCTTTGGTAAATTACTCTCAGAAGTGGCCACTCTCTCCTTTTTTGCTATTATTTTTTTTGCAGTCCTGGCCGGGCGCAGTGGCTCACACCTGTAATCCCAGCACTTTGGGATGCCGAGGCAGGACGATTATCCGAGGTCACGAGTTTGAGACCAGACTGGCCAACATGGTGAAACCCTGTCTCTACTAAAAATACAAAAAATTAGCCGGGCATTGTGGCGTGTGCCTGTAATCACAGCTACTCAGGAGGCTGAGGCAGGAGAATCACTTGAACCCAGGAGGTGGAGGTAGCAGTGAGCTGAGATCATGCCACTGCACTCCAGCCTGGGTGACAGAGTGAAACTCCATGTCACACACACACAAAAAAAATACAGTCCTGACTTATTTTAGCAACAAATACTATTTATTACTGAGTGCATTAACCAGTTGGAAAAAAGCTCTACTTATACCATTTAATAATGTTTTCTTCATAAAATTATACTTTTATGTGTAATAACTATCAACATTTGGATTATGCTTATATTGTTTTAGTCAACTGTGTACAAATGATATTTAAAATAATAACTCAAGTCTGAAGAAATTATTTTAACTTTAGAGCCTGAAGGCACAGAAAATTAAACATAAAACATTAAAAAATATGTAAATGTTTTTATTATAGCACATTATGTCAGAGTGATTTCAAGCACAAAAATACATTACAGTAGGATACAATTTTGTGGGGGAAAGTGGAATGGAAATAGGAGTTCAGGGGGAGAAAGAGAAGAGGTTAAATAGTAACTTAAAAATTGTTCATGTATTTTTAAAATGAATAGTGGTTGGTATTAAAACACTATAATGTAGAAGTTCCACTGGATAAATTAAAAGTGATGAAAGAGTTTTATTTTAAAATGTCTGTATTTAAACTATAGCAGAAATTACAGCATTTGCAACTATTTAAGCTTTGGAAAAATACAGATGTTAACTTATAAATGTGCCAGTGAGTAGAAGCTTTTCAGAATTCTTTTAGGAGACATATGAGCCAAAATTTTAAAGACAACTTTGTAAAAGTGTTGGGATATGGTGGGGAGTGCCCTGAACATACACAGAGAACTTCGCAGTTTCTGGCAGCTCCTACCCTCCCTGAGGACTCATTAATCCTGTAACTTTGGGCAAGTTACCTAACTTCTTCAGGTCTCTCCTCATCTACAAAGTAGGAGTAACGACACCCATGTTGGAAGAAGAAGGCAATTAATCTGTGTGATGCAATTAGCCCAACCTTGGCCCACAGAAACCTCCCAATGAATAACCACTGTTAGGCTAGTGTTTTTATTTTTAATATTGTTATTGTTTTGTTTTAGTGGCCAGCCTCTGATGGCCCTAATTTGAATTTGCTGTGAATTTGCCAGCACTTTGGAAGGGCAGATTTGGGTCAGCTCTCAGCATCAAAATTTCCTTCACTTAATGGGCACAAATTTTCACATTTTGCTTGAGTGTGAATCTGTTTCTTGTTTGAATTTTTTCTGGCCTTTCCTGTGAAGCACCTCTCCAGTGCTTTTTTTCTTCCCCTCTGCAGACATTGGCCCTAGGCCCACTCAGAGATTTCTCTCCTCACTTTTATCCAGAACTGCTGGTCTCAGCATGAACTCCTCTACCTTGCTGTCTCTGAAATTCATACTTCCTCCATCTCTTCCCACCCCCAGTCCTTCCCTCCAGTGCAATTTAGCCTTCTTCCCACCTTTCTCCTGGGGCCAGTAAAGGCTCTACTCCATTTTGGGCAAACTCCTAATTCTTATGAAAAAAAACTCTATGCAAAATTATTTTGAAATGAGATGCTATGCATATCCCATTTTAATTTGTTAAAATGTTAAAATTCTCAAAAGGGAATGCTGATAAACAGGCTGATTTACAGGGCAGTTTCTCAGCAAAATGCATTATGTCAGTAAAACAGCAGGAAACCAAAGAAGCTATTGTGCACTAAATTGACTTTAGGTGCTTTATTTCAGACCTAAACCTTATACTCTGTCATGTAGCAACACAAATATGTCCAGAAATATGTTAATGAGTTTGTTCAGGAATTGAATTTCTGAGATAAAAGAGAAAATACAACAACATACTTCTTTTAAAGTTTTATTAATAATTTGTCTAAAATAAATTTATACCATTTTATTAAGTCCCCAAGAACAGTTCCAAAATGTTAGAAAAGCAGAGGAAATGGTTATACCAGAAACATGGGATAAGAGTTTTTTTCCCTGAAACATAAATTTAGAGGTATCTTCCTTCCAGTTAGTAATTAGATGCACCAAACCTTCCTCTCCAGCTCTAATCCATTTCAAAAATATTATTTAATATTTGAGATACAAACAAATATACATGACCTACATGTAAGTTGTAAAACATAATAATAATAAAACACTCATGAATCCACCTCCCAACTTTTCCTACTTTTACACCTCATTTCCTGCCATCCTCCATTTGTTTGAGTCACAAATGATTTGTGCAGCTTCTTTCAAATGCTTCTGCTCACGCTATTTTTTTTGGGTGTCTTCTATTTCTTGTTCTTTATCCATTTAAATTTATTCCATTCATCAAAGGCCACATCAAATTCTAGCTTTTCCATTACAACCACATCCCACACCACACTTGCTCAGAGCAGTTGTCCCTCTTCTTAGCAAAGGTAACACGTGTCTGCACCATTTACTGTCCACTGTCCTTTCTAAAGGAATAACTCATCTTAGGTCATCATCAAGTGCTTTCTGTTCATTTGTTCAACAACTCATAGAGCACCCACCAGGTGTCGGCGGCACCAGTCTAGGCAGTGGGGCAAGAGCTGGACCATGTTCCGTATAGCCATCATCTCAAACACTTTCCACAGTGAACCTTGTGGAAAGTCTAAACGATTTGCTTAATGTCACCTGGTATGACTAAATGGAGAAGCTGAGACTGGCTTCAGGGCCTGAGTACTCCTAATGCTGCTGTCCCACCGTCAGACTCTTCCCCAGCGCAGTGACCACACTGGCTGAATAGAGTCATGCTTAGTGCACAGAGCAGTCTCTTGGTCTGGAGATTACTCCTTAGCCTCCTGTTCTTGGTCAGTTATTTTATTTTATGTTATGTTATTTTATTATTATACTTTAAGTTCTAGGGTACATGTGCACAACGTGCAGGTTTGTTACATATGTATACATGTGCCATGTTGGTGTGCTGCACCCATTACCTCATCATTTACATTAGGTATATCTCCTAATATTTTGGTCAGAGTTATTTTAAGTCCTTCCTTTCTCTGTTCAGGCAACATTTTTCTTTCCATTTTGCTAATTTCAGTCTTTTGTTGACTGACACTGTTTTAAAACTCTCACATTTTCTTTGATTTCTCTGGTCTAAATGGCTGCACTTTATAGACTCAGTGTATTTTGTGCATTTAGTGTATTTTAATGAAAAAGAGAATGACCTTTTAATCCCTATTGCCTTTTCCAAATTATTTACTGATTTCAGTTACTAACTGAAATAGGGAGGCTTCGTTCAAATATGAATAAAGAATTGACATATTATTGATTCAACCATTTCATTTTTTCTTCTTGGCTCTTTCTACTTCTCAGTGGCTCAATGTCCTTTCTCTTGTGTCCAGGTAATATCAGCCTTACCAGTCTTGGCAGAATGTCTGTCCCAAGAGGAAAAGTGGTCTCCACAGACATTTGCTTAAAATTCACCTACTCTAAGCTCTGTTCCCAAGAATACTGGCCTTTCCATGCTGAAATGCTGGTGGGTACTGGAGGGTTTATGCATTTTCCCTTTGAGAGATACCTGTGTATTTAAAAATATTTGTTAAATTAATAGTCTAATCTGATTATAAGGATAATATATGTTAACCCAGAAAAGTTTGGAAAATTCTGGAAGCACAATTTTCTTCCTTCTTTTTTGTTTATTTTATTTTTACACAATTGGAGTCATATTGTTTACATAGTGTTGAACTTCAGTATTTTCTACTTGATGTTTTTAGTGAGAGTGTCAAAAGGATATGAAAGGAGAAATCTGGTAGGAAAACAGTAAGTGTGGCCATGTAAAATTAAAAACCTTTGAATGGTAAAAATGAGATCAATACATAAAAAGACAGTAAACGTCAGAAAACATCTTAAATCTATGATAGAAAAAGGAACTGTAACCCAAATATACAAAGAGTTCCCACAAAGGAGGTGAATAACCTAATTAAAAATCAGCAAAGAACATGAGCAATCAATTAATAATAAAATACATCCTAACATTACATAGGTTCACTCTTTTAAATCTTAAAAACTATGTGTTATTATTTAATGTGTAATTCTTTAATTATGGTGCTGGAGAATTTAATATAGCCTTCACAAAGAGTTGCAGTAATAATTGTAATTTCAGAATAAATGCAAAGAAACTCTTTGTTGGTGATAACCTTTCAGTTATACCACAGGAGCAGCTAATTGGTCTGTAAGTTTCTTGATACCAGAGGCCATTTTTAAAGAATGTCTTTATGTCTTCAGCATCTCATTTGTAGCTTGGGGATACCATATGTCTAGTACACATTTTGGAAAGATAATGCAGAAAAGTGGTGTCATCCTGGCTTTTAGAATCTCTTTTCATTAGTATTATACACACTAAATTATGCATTTTATTAAACTAATTGGTGATGATGTTACCATGGAGATAGTTTCCGTTTCACTCTTTGCTCAAAGGAATTTCATATTTCAACTTTAGCGCAGGAGGCATGGGGGTGTGATCGGCAATCTGTGGAAGTAGCGCATGATGCTGCTTAAGGTTTATCCCATCAGATTTGTTGTTAACTCATTATGAGTGACCCGTAAGAAGACACTCGGGAATAGAGCAGTTATGAAATAAGGCAGAATACGGAAAGAAGAATGGAAAGAGAAAGAATGGCCAAAAATCAATTCAAAACTGGGGAAAATTTTAGCAAACTAAGCAAAAAGCAGGAACCACAGATGAGGAAGAATAACTAATGAATTGTACAGTCTTGGCATCTTTTCTGCTTTATAGACTCATTCAGCAGGTTCATGCCTCTGTGGGCCCAAGAGCCTGGGATCACAGCTGTTCTTAGAAGCCATGTGGGTGGGAGCTGGGAAAGTACCCAAAATATGACAGCATTGGCTGACATGTTGTTGTCTCTATGTCAAAGGCGATGGCTAGCAGTAAGGTGCTATCTCTGTGTGGCTGTGGTGTTCCAGGGAAATTTGTGATTAGATTTTATGATGATTTGGAAAACAAAGTATAGCTCCCACTTTTTAAAGTATGAGCTGAGGCCGGGTGGGTGGCTCACATCTGTACTCCCAGCACTTTGAGAGGCCAAGGTGGGTGGATCACTTGAGACCAGGAGCTCGGGACCAGCCTGGCCAACATGGCAGAAACCCGGTCTCTACTAAAAACACAAAAATTAGCCGAGCGTGGTGGTGGGCGCCTGTAATCCCAGCTACTGGAGAGGCCGAGGCATGAGAATCGCTTGAATCCTGAAGGAAGAAGCTGCAATGAGCCGAGATCGCGCCACTGCACTCCAGCCTGGGCGACAGAGCAAGACTCCGTCTCAAAAAAAAAAAAAAAAAAAAAATATGAGCTGAGCATAGTGACTTCGACTTCGACTTCCTTTCAAAACAGTATAAAAGGAGAGGCAAGAGTATGCTTACACTGGAGAAATTTGACAAACTCTACCTCAAGCTTAATGTCAACAGTCGTTAAGTCATGTTGATAGTATATACCCTTGATATGATGTAATGAAAACGTCATTTTACCTCTGTGTTCTTCCTCCTAAAAATTCATGATCTCAGTCTAGCCATGGGAAAAACACCAAACAAATCTTAATTGAGAAGACTGTTACAAAATACCCGACCAGTATTCCTCAAAACTGTCAAGGTCATCAAAAACTAAGTCTGAAAAACTGTCACAGCTAAGAGGAGTTTAAGGAGGCATGTTAACCAAATGTAATGTCCTGACTTGGATGGGATCCTGGAACAGACAAGAAGACATTAGGTAAAAACTAAGGAAATATGAATAAAGTATGATCTTCAGCTAATAACAGTGATGTTTTCATTTGTTTATTTTGAGATGGAGTCTCGCTCTGTTGCCGAGGCTGGAGTGCAATCGCAGGATCTCGGCTCACTGTGAGCCCCACCTCCCGGGTTCAAGCAATTTTCTTGCCTCAGCCTCCCGAGTAGCTAGGATTACAGGTGCCTGCCACCACGCCTGGCTAATTTTTGTATTTTTAGTAGAGAAGGGGTTTCACCATGTTGGCCAGGCTAGTCTTGACCTCAGTTGATCCACCTGCCTTGGCCTCTCACAGTTCTGGGATTACAGATGTGAACTACCCTGCCTGGCCAATAATATTTAATAATAATAATAATAATCACAAAGAAAGAAAAGGCATATAGATTATGTAAAAAGTCAGAGAAGTTTTGTGGTGGAGAGAATGGAAATGGAGTTCTCGCTGATTGGGCTGTCTGTCTTGTATTGTGATTTGTTTTTCCCAAAACGTATTTCTGCTACCTGGAAATAGGAGCAGAAGAAGCAGATAGTGGATGTCCCGCCACTGGAGACTGACAGCCTGGTTGCTGAAAATGGGGACTAACTGGAACACGAGGTCAAAAATCAAATTTTGAAAAAAATGTAAACAGAAATTGTAAACAAAAAATCAAACTTGGGCTCACTCCTGTAAAAAGAAAACTGCTAGCAGTTGCAAGGATGTGTTTACGTTTTCTGTTATTTAACATTATCTGATTCTAATTTCTTTACTTATTGAGGAAAGGGTCTTTACATTTCATAAATGTTGTGTCAGTTATACTCTTGCATTTTCTAGAAAAATTGGAACTTCTAATATACAATTCTGAAAGGCAACACAAACGTTACCTAAACTAGTAATTTTTTAAATAAATAAAGTACAAATAGGAGTCTGTTTTTCTCAGGATAAGTTTTCTGCTAATAAATATTAGTCTAAGTTTAATCAACTTTTTTTTAAAGAAACTTCTCATGCATATTCTTCCGCACACTGTGCCTGTAGGTGTACTAAAACCACTCTCTCATGAAAACTTGCAAAACTTTCTTTTTCACACAGCAATGTTATGTGAGGGAACCATTAATCAGACCACTGTTGATTTAGTTGCAAACCGTGGGACGCAATGTAATTCATCACTACAAGCCTGTGCTGTGGTCCTCTTTCCTGTTGTTTCCTGGATGTTTCCTTGCCTGTTGACAGCACAGTGATTGATTTTTACTTTCTCTAGTATAAAAAGAAAGTAGACACATGTTATTGTTGCATACGCTTTGGCATTTTACAGGTAATATTAAAAATGAACATAAAGCTAACATAAATTTGGGACATATTGCTTTGTTGAAAGTGTTAAGAAATCAGAATGATAATTTGTAATCCAAATCATGAATATATTTTATAATAGTCCTTGAAATTAAAGTGATTAATTAGAAAGCAAAATCACCATTTCTATACTTTGAGTATATGTGTATGGTTAATATAGAAGAAATACAGTATCCACTTTTCCCTGTTGGTTGTACTAATTGATAATCTAGTACTACATATAGCTGAGGTTAATTTTATGTTATGGCCTTTATTTAAATTTGGTAAGATCTCTTACTGGGACTAAAGACAAAATAATGTGATTTGATCAAATTACTTAAAATATGTAATAAATAATTTTAAAATTTTAAATTAAAATAATGACAAAAGTAGTTTAAATAGACGTTTTAATGTAATCATATAATAAGTTATAAAATACATAGTGGTATTTTATAGACAATAGAAAGAACAAATATGAAGCTAACAAAATACAGAAATAATTGTTTTGTTCACCATGTTAATTAATCAGCCTATTAATATGCCATGAAAAAACAGACCTCTAAGATCTCTAGGACTAGAAGGAAACCCTGAGCTCAGCTACTGCATCAGCTCATGTAGGGATTGAAATATGGCCAAGTAATCTTCGCTGGAACTGTTCAAAAAGAGTTGAAAAGGTTGGTCAGGTGCTTACCAACAGTTTTTTCATCTTAAGACAGCATGCTAGGTAGAAATTTCTTCATTATATTGAATCAAAATCTATCTTCTTGCAATTCTCAGTTTTTTCTGGTTCTATCTTAAGCGGCTAAATCCCACAAGCACAAGATAGTGCTTTAAGGATCATATGGACTAATCTGTAAATTGCTGGGTATTGGTTCCTATTTTCTTTCTTGAAACATAGATTTGATTACATCATTCACCAATTCAAACATTTCCAATGACTGTCCCATTACCTACAGAATGAAGTCCAACTCCTTTGATTTCTATAACAGCTGATAGTGATCGATATCTACCTAAAACATTCACATTAGTTTTTAATGCTATCTTTCCTGAGGCATTTATCTTTCTCCCTTGTATGCTATTTACATATTTGTCAGTTTCTTATTCTGCTGTGAAACATTTGAGCACAGGATCTCTGCTTGATATAGTTTTGTACTCTTACATTTCGATCTTACATGATATATTGTCACTATTTAATAATTAAAGAATAAATCATGGCCTCAAAAATGGACATGCTCCAGATGGCTTTGATCAGAACAGAGCACAGTAGAACCACCCCTTCTTTTTGTCCTTGACACTAGACTTCTATTAATGCAGCCTAAAATTGTCTTTACTATTTTAGCAGCTAAGTCATGCTGCAAGTTCATTCTGACCTTGCAGTCAACTCTAACTGCTAAGCCCTTTCACATGAGTTACTGTTAATCCTGTACATGTGAGGTTAATCTTTTTTTTTAACAGAAATGTAGAACTTCACGTTTCTAGCTCTCAAGGTTCTTCTTGTTTGTTCTGGCCCATGCTGTTGGCCTGTTGAGAATATTTTGAGTCCTGATTTCAACATCTCTTTTATTAGCTCTCCTTTCTATTCTCGTGTCATCTAAACTTCCTGTCTTCTCTGTCTTTATCCAAATGTTAACCAAATGCAGAACACTTGCCTGTCCAAGGGTAGAGGCATGGAGATGATAGCAGAGAGAGACATCTTTCCAGATGGCAGAATCCAGGAATCAATACTTGTTTGGTACAGTCAGACAAATCAGATATGACAACACCTAATTATTATCACCAGGTTCAGTCATTTTTCATTCTTTCACCAAATATCAGGAAAGGTTTCATTAAATGTCTTGCAGATGTCACAATGCACTGCAAAATAAATTATAGGCCAGCATGGTGGCTCACGCCTGTAATCCCAGCACTTTGGGTGGCCGAGGCTGGATCATCTGAGGTCAGGAGTTTGAGACCAGCCTGGCCAATATGGTGAAACCCCATCTCTACTAAAAATACAGAAATCAGCTGGGCATAGTGGTGGGTGCCTGTAATCCCAGCTACTCAGGAAGCTGAGGCAGGACAATTGTTTGAACCTGGGAGGCAGAGGTTACAGTGAGCTGAGATTGTACCATTGCACTCTAGCCTTGGTGACAAAAGTGAAACTCCATCTCAAAAAATAAATAAATAAATAAATAAATATTTTTTGAATACCTATTTATTAATTATTTTGAAATATTATACTGATTAAACACCTATTGACTTCTAAGCACTCCATTAGATATAGCATAGAAATTTCCTTTTGTAATACTATCAATTCTAACTGTCTTTATCCTGACTTTAAAGATGTGAAAACAGAGCCTTGAAGTGGCAAAATATTTTCTGAGATTTCACAGCTAGCAAGTGTCAGGACTAGGCTTCCAGAATAAGGTCCAGCTAACATAAGGCCAAGTCTATCTTCCACTCTTCTCTTTGTCCAGTTCCCATATCCAATCCATCGCCAGTCCTACCAAATCCACCTCCAATATCTGTATCCTAAATCCAACCTCTCATTCCATCTCCACATTAGTATTGTAGTGTAGAGGCCATCATCTCTTCCCTGGACCCTGCTGTAGCTTCCCATCTGTTCTCTCTGTGTCCATTTTTGACCCTTTATAGTCAATTATCTACAGAAAAACCAAAATAATCTTTTAAAATCTTAAATCAGATTATATTATTCCTCCACTTAAACATTCTCCAATGGCCTCCCATTGTAGTAGTATAAATTTTAAACACATTTTTATGGACTATATTTCCCTGAATAAATTTGTCCCGTATTTATCCCTGCAACTCATCTCCTATCTTACTTTCCCTTTCTCATATGGTTTTAGCCACACTGAGTTTCTTGAAGTTCCTTGGATATTACCAAAGCTTACTTCTTTTTCCTGGATGATTGTAGTGTATCATTGTACAACTGGTTCTATATTATATTACGGTCTCAACTCAAATCATCCTTCTTCAGAGAAGACTTCTCTGATTTTCCAATCTAGTACTGCCTCCTCCCAGTTGCTGTTTTTACTTTGGTCTGTCTTATTTTATTCATGTCTCATGTATTTACTTAAAATTATTATATTTATTGATTTTTTTTTATAAAAACCTTTTTATCCTCTCGAACGCCTCTTGAGGGCAAAGATTTTTACTGTCGTTTACATTGCTGTATTACCAAAACCAAGGCTCTTGAAAAACACTGATTAAATCAACGAAATAATTAGTTTCATAATAAACAAACAAAATTAAGTATTTCTTATAACACATCAAGCATTCACTTAAATCTTAGCCATGTATATAGTAACAGATTTTTTTAAATCTAATTTTTAAAAACAGGAGAAAAATGGGCAGGGTAGAATTTTTTAAGAAAAGAAGAGTACATTTTATATCAATGACTCAGGAGTACAAATGAAAATAAAACCATATTACGAAGGAGTGTACTTTCACACATTCTGACAATATTTTTCAATTTCAAGATGTATCATTTCTAGCACACAAATTAGGGAAACAAATGCAATTGGCAGTAATGAGTAGGAGTGGAATGTAGGCAGAAGATACTGCGTTATTTCTCATAAGCCAACACTTAAAATGTTTCTTCAATAAACCATGAAAACTGACCCATAAAGCTGAGGTTGCATAATAACTTAGCAGACATTAATATTGGTGACAACAGCTCTCGAGTGATTTTATATTACGCTAATTTAAAAAAAAATAACAATCATATTCTCTAATTCTAGAAATTAAGGAGAAAATTGTTTTTATTATATAAGTAACAGGCTTAAATATATGTTAATATGCATAAATCTTAGACACAAATATAGCAAAAGTATTTGTTAAGCTGCCATATATTACTCAACATACTTATATCTAAGAATTTATTTGATAAAATAATTTTATTTTTGTTAGAATAATTTTAGTGGAAGATATGAACATTTTTTAAAACACATATTTCATTGTTTAATATATACCATATACTGTATAAGTTTGCCTCCCAACATTCATTCAGGCCATCTTTTCTAGAACATCCTTCCCCTTTTGGCAAAATAGTGTGAATACCCCAAGGTC
This sequence comes from Homo sapiens, assembly GCF_000001405.40. Lineage (NCBI taxonomy): Eukaryota > Metazoa > Chordata > Mammalia > Primates > Hominidae > Homo > Homo sapiens. Next base: position 122,065,856 of record NC_000006.12, on the reverse strand, counting down.
CATTTCAAATGTCTCTTTCTCCATGATTTCTCTTATTCCCCTCCCAGCATGTACATGGCATCAGAACAAATTGTTTCCTCTGATAGTTCCAAAGTCCTTTTCTGTACCTCCACTACAATACTTATACTTCCTGTCCATTCTGTGAGAAGGAGATGGCAAATATCCCCTTGTTTCACTGATGTTGCACTCTCCAGGACCTCCAGCAGTGGCTGGAACATAGTAGATTTTCAAAATCCACTCCTTCCTTTCTCCTTTCCTCCCTTCCTACTTCCCTTCCTCCATTTCTTCCTTCCTTCGTATATTTATTCAACAGACAATTATCAAGTGCCTATTGTTTACCAGGCAATAGTTTTAAAAACAGTTGTGATTAAGACAAGCCCTCCTACATTCTAGTGAGGGGGAGGATCAAAATGTAAAAATAAGTTAACATTGATAAGTGTTGAGCATATATATATACACAAACACACTATATATATATGTAAATAAAAAAATAAAACACTTCAAAGGGAGCAAAACAGAATGAGAGGGACTCTTTTATTTTAGGGTTAGGAGAAGACTCTCTTGGGAGGTATCATCTAAGCTTAGGCCTGAATGGCAAAAGGAAACCAACTGTGATACCCTCCTGGGGAAAACTATGTCAGCCAAAGGACTAGTGAGTGAAACCCCCTAATGGAAGAAGAAACCTGACTTGTTTTAGGGACAAAAAAAAAAAAAGCTGGAGGATTTCTGTTGATGTCAGTCAATGCCAATTTTTTGAGCAATGAGTATTTCCAGGCATATAGAAACAGAGTAGTTTGTCTGGGACCCAGACAAGGAAGTATCTTGTTTCTCTGGTGAATAGAACTGAAAAAGGAGGCTTAATTTTGTTTCCCCTTACCGAAGTAGATAAAGATTAACTATTAATAAAATAGAAGCTTTTTCTTTATGCATCATAAATAATTGAGACCAAAACAAAACAAAAACCTGCATGCTCCTTGAAATAGACATGTGGTAAATATGATGGTAATCCCTTCAATATCTCACCTCGGATACCTGAGCCAGGATTTTATTGGTGCCAACTGCAAAGTCCATTGATAGCATTTCATCAATGCTTTTTTTTTTTTTTTTTTTGAGACGGAGTCTCACTCTGTCACCCAGGCTGGAGTGCAGTGGTGCGATCTCTGCTCACTGCAACCTCTGCCTCCAGGTTTCACGCCATTCTCTTGCCTCAGCCTCCCGAGTAGCTGGGACTACGGGCGCCTGCCAGTACGCCCAGCTAATTTTTTGTCTTTTTAGTAGAGACGGGGTTTCACCGTGTTAGCCGGGATGGTCTTGATCTCCTGACCTCGTGATCCACCCGCCTCGGCCTTCCAAAGGGCTGGGATTACAGGCGTGAGCCACCGCACCTGGCCTCATCAATGCTATTTTTTAAAACTCTCCTGCACCCAGTTAGGGGTAAGCTATTCTGCTATGCCTGTTCTGAAACCATCCCTGAATATCTATGAAATGCTTTTCTGTGTCTCTGTGGTCCAGAAGTGCTCTTCAAAGATATAAAGGAATTCATAATGTAACTACTAGTCCATATCTCCTAACAGATGAAAAGAAAAACAGCCACATTTATTTAGCATGAAGAGGTTATAGGAATTTTCAGAACAATGGCCTTTTCAAAGGTCATGAAAGTGAAGCTCAGAGATGCTAACTTTGTCCAGAAAAACTTTTCTCAATCTCAGCACTATTGCCATTTGGGGCAGAGTGATTCTTTGTTGCGCAGGGTGTCCCGTGTGTTGTAGGATGTTTAGCCCCTTCCCTGTCCTGTAACCATGAGATACCCATAACACATCCCTTTCCTACTTGTGACAAACAAAAATGTGCCAGTCAATGTCAAATGTCTTGGCGGGGGTTGCGGGGTGGCTAAATTGCACCCTATTGAGAAGCACTGGTCTAGAAACTGACAGAGCTGCAGCCAAAATGATCTTTTAGCTATTTTATTAAGTAGGAACAAAAACTATTTCCTCATCGTGAAAGCAAATAAATTTTATGCACTTAAGCATACAGGTACTAAATGTTTCTTAGAAACACTCCAGTGATGCAGGTCTCTAAGAATATCATTTGGCATCATGCAATAACCCAAAGGCTGATACATAATAGATTTGCTGGAGTCCTGGATCCAAATATATGTGTATGTTGACTAAATAAAGAATAGAATGGCATCTTTAAAATAATTTTTAAAACGTTGTACACTCAGTTCAATGACAAGTTTGATTATACCCAAGAATTAAAAAATATATATATTTTTTTCTGTCTGTAGTGAAGTAGAAAATGAAAGAATCAACAGAGAAAATGCAATGACCAGACCATTCAGCCCAGCCCAAATAAACACTTTTATTTTCTCTCCTTTTCTAAAGCAAACACAACTCAACCCAAAGTTTATCTTTTCTTCATTTGGAATTCTATTGTGGTACTCACATCACACAGAGAAAGTGAAATGTTAGTGAACAAGCATGCCTCAGTAGGGGAAACATAAGGCATTTATTACAAACGAATTCCAGATAATTAGTGGAGGAGATCATGAAATGTTCAGAGAGAAAAAAAGGGCTGAATTTCAAACAGAAGGGGGTCTGAGCCATTAACGGGTAATCTGCACGACTTTTGTTAATCCCCTGGGGCTCCTGTTACAGGTGGTTCATATTTCTAAGCAGTGAAGTATGCGAGATGAATGGAAAATTTCTCCTTAACATTTTCCACTACCCAGCCTTAGCATGAAAAGCCCTGTACCAGATCAAGCAGCTGGTTTATTACAACTTCTAATTCAGAGACATATCGCCATTCAGTTATTCCCAGCCCTTGCTACTCACCCGAGATTTTCATTTCTACATTTCCCCGGAGTAGAATTTCCTCTAGAGAAAGTGTGGAGCTATTTTTTAATATAGACTAAAAAGTGTTCTTTAGGTTTAAAAATACTGGAGAACGTGAATCAACGTTTATTAGGTTCAAGAAGGATATTTCATATTTTAAGAGAAAAAATTACGTATATTTTATGTATGAATGGCTCTAATCTCTGCCAATTGTTGCAGTAGAAATGAGTTAGAAAAATACTGATTACCTTTCCTATAAATATCATCTGAGTAGAAAGTACCAGTGTGTAGTAAAATATCTTTAATTTATTCCAATAAATATTGTAAAATAATAATTAAATGAGGTTTACTGACAACTGTACAAACATACAAAATTGAAAAGCTAAAACAAATCAAAACACAAGTGCTGTTTTGCGTGCCCCTGAATGAGAGAAAGAAATTATACATAGGCAATTTTTTCTTTCATAGTTAAATTATGCTCGTAGGTATTCTAGATTTTGATTCTAGTAAAGCTGGTCATCTTATTTCATTAAAATGCTAGGTTTTTTTCCTCCTTTCCAGAGGGCACACCATTCTCGTTTCAGTGAAATTTGTCCTAAACACCTCTCTTGATGTTAATTAATCAAAAACTATTTGTCAGTTTCTAAATATATTTAGATCTACAGCTCTGCTTAGTTCTCTGGAGATGTGAATGAAGCATAGCCCTGGCCCTAGGCCTGGAATCCTTAGAGGAGACCTCAAGGAGGTGGGATGCAAATAGAGCTTTGGAGATACGTGGAGTGTTTTATAGAAAAGGAAGAATGAAAATGGCATTAATGAGTTGTTTTCTTATGTTGTTTGCCTTTTTCTTTCTTTCTTTCTTTCCTTTTTTAGGGTAACGTCAATTTGAGCTTTTTTTTTTTTCAGCTTTTCATTAAAAATGTGGAAAATGCAAAGGGAACTTCCATAACTGCTGACAATGCATGACTGTGGTAGTGATTTGTTTCTGAACTATTTTCCCCACCTCCAGTCTCTTTCTAAGATCCATTCTCTTCTCCCCATTATCACCAGAGTTATTTTGCTTATACAAAAATTGTATTACATTACCCCTCTGTTTTATAGATTTCAGTTGGCTCTCCTTTGCCTTGAGGATAAAGTCCGAACTCCTTATCATTGCAAGTAATTAAGCTTGTTCATTATCTGACCCATACTTATCCTCTAGCCTCATTTTCTACAAATCCCCAGCTCTCTCTGTACTCAAGGGCCCAAATAATTACAGTTTCTGAAATGTGTCCTGATGTTTCACATGTCTATAACAGTAGCTAATGCTGTTCTAAGTACTTTAGGTAGATGAATTCATGTAAACCCCAAGCTACTATTTGAAGTAAATATTATCCTTATTTTTTAGAAAGGAGGAACCTGAAGCACAGAGTAATTGAGTAACTTGCAGATCATTTAGATAACAGGTGTCAGGTAGAGCCTACAATTTAAATCCAGACCTTAGTACCAGAGTTAGTGCTTTTCCTCTTTCTTCTCCCTAGGTCTGTCTGATACGGTTGAATTCATTCCTCAAGATCTAGCTTAAGTTTCCTTAAATTTTACTTTCACTGCCTCTAACTGAGTTAGTTACTAAGTCATCTGGGCCACTACTCTCGTTTAAATATTCCTCAACTGTTACTATTACAACACTATAGTATGTATATTGTAATTAATTATTGACATGATTTCTCTTAATTTAGACTAGGTTCCAAGTCTCATTTGTCTTTTTAACTCAGTCTGTAGCACTGTTTTAGTTAATAAATAAATGAATAAATAAGGAGCTAAATGAATGTCTCTTCACTTGGTTAATGGTAGATTTAGCCTTTTGCTGAATTCAAAGCCATTATAAACCTTATACAAAATCTGGGTGGTAGTGAGGTAGAAGGCAGAACTCAGGCTCTAGACCAGATTGAAGAGTAGCTCAAACAGGGAAGAAGCAAAAGCACCTCCCCATAAGATATGCCCACTCGGTCCATGTCAGTTTACCATTGCCATGGCAACACCTGGAAGTTGCCATCCCTTTCCATGGCAATAACCTGATGGTCCAGAAGTTACCACCCTATTTTTAGAAATTTCTGCATAACCTGTCCCTTAATTTGTACATAATTAAAAGTGAGTATAAATATGACTGCAGAACTGCCTCTGAGCCACTGCTCTGGGTACACTGTTTATGGGGTATCCCTGCTTTGCAAGGAATAACACCTCTGCTGCTGCTTCAATAAAAGTTGCTGCCTAACCCCACCAGCTTACCCTTGAATTCTTTCCTGGGTGAAGCCAAGAATCCTCCTGGGCTAAGCCCCAATTTGGGGGCTTACTTGCCCTGCATCAGTAGAATGATGGGTGATTTTAATTATTTTTGTTATTTTGGCTTATTTACATTCAATCACTTTTCCTTTTTTTAAAAAACTATGGATTATTTCATTTTTTTAATTTTGAGGATCTACATTAATAGTGATAAGTCCTTATGCATATAAAACTTTATCTGAAATTAAGATGTTCCATTTCTTTAAAAAAAGTTACATACTTTAATGAGGATATGTAAGATATTAACATGTAAATTAAATATACCAAAGTATTTAACTTTATTTAGTCATAATACATGAGATATTATGCTATATGAAAGTTATACTTTTATCTTCCACATTAGGCTATACAGTTAAGAGGATAGTAAAAGTGCAGTTGAATTCTTCAGGTAATGGCAACTTGGTGGACATTACCGAGAAAGCTACTAACTTTGAATTATGATGCTGGCAGCTTCAACAATGGTTCCCTGTTTCATCTTGCCCACTATGGGTGATTTTAGGATAAATAGTTCCTGGCCTAAAATGTATACAGCTTCATAGATCAAAGTCAACGCTTTGAACTGCATCCAGAAACACCCTGGTAGCCAGGGCAAGCTGTAGTGCACAGACGTTAATATGATCCATCTGCCTGAGACACTTAAGCAAGCAAGCTGCCCCTGCATTTTGGAGTAGGTGAAATGATCTAGTGGTTTTCACAACAACCCCCATTGTATCACATTGTTGTAATGCTCTGGAAAGCACAAAAATTATAGGTGAAGCAATTCTGAATCGAAAGGGAAGTTGTGAAATGTATGTAAATAGTTAAAGGAACGTTCTGGGTTTTTGTTAATACATTGATATGCAAGTACTGCAGGATTTAACATTAAGTATATTAGATATGTGTCTATGCACCAAAAGCTGGTTCATAGTCCAGGAAATTGCATTTCTTTCTTGAGCAAAATTTTTGACACTTGGTAGAATAGGTTAACAATATGTTCCAAAAGTAGTTGATATTCACCATAGAAATTTAGCTGTGGAGCTTCAACATTATGACATTTCTAAGCTAATAGAAGATAAAGTATTACTCTTTAGTAAATATTGCCAGCACAGCACATGAGTGTTCAGAAGTCAATTAAAAGTAAAATGCAACCTATTTAAGGATTCCAACACCACCCTCAAAAAAAAAAAAAAAAAATAGAGGTTGCATAATATATTATTTTCATCTAAAAAGTTGTATACAGTTTTTCTTAAGGTAATCAGAATTTTTTTAATGGAGAAGGCAATATATAAGTTAACACTTTTTAAAAATATACTCCTCATTTTTTGTAGAATTTCCTGAAATAAAATTTTCCCTCTTTCTGTTTACCATGCTACTTTAGAGGATTATTGAATCGAAGAAAACGTTAATCGTGTTCTAAAATTTTTTAAGTAAGTATATATATAAATCAATCGTCAAAAACAAAATTCAGAAAAAGGCAGCCTGGCGTGGTGGCTCACTCCTGTAATCCCAGCACTTGGGGAGGCCTAGGTGGGCGGATCACGAGGTCAGGAGATAGAGATCATCCTGGCCAACATGGTGAAAAACCCCGCCTCTACTAAAAATACAAAAAAAATTAGCCGGGCATGGTGGTGTGCGCCTGTAATCCCAGCTACTCGGGAGGCTGAGGCAGGAGAATTGCTTGAACCCGGGAGGCAGAGGTTGCAGTGAGCAGAGATCGCGCCACTGCACTCCAGCCTGGCGACAAAGCCAGACTCTGTCTCAAAAATAAAAAAGGCAATGCATTTTTACTAGTTTGCAAAAAGGCAGAAAAAGCAAAAATCTTTTAAAATGTTTATGCTTTTTAGAAATTACCATATAATATATAAAAATAATCACTAGAGATAATGGACCCTAGCACAAAGGTTGTGCTCAATTAGTTAAGGCATGTGGGTAGGTAGAACCCAGGGAAATTTTCATCCCTGGTCAGGATTTTCTGAAACTCTCCATGCCTTCACTTTGCTCACGACCATACCCTATCACTTAATGCAATGTTGACAACTGAGGTCCTACTGGGAAACTAGACAATGGTAATGGGTCTTGATCACCCAAGAGCAAGAAGCAGAGATGTAAAAGGAGAGTTTCTGTCATTGTCATTGGATGTGCCTGGGGACTTGAGTACCAGTATCCTCTCTGGCTTCTATTCTAATGCTTCTTTGGACCGATCCTTTCTCCTCATTCTAATTCAAATTCACATTCAAGTCCTGGGTTTGGATGAGAGAAACTCTTAAGTCCCTAACACCATATGCATACAAAGTTCGTAGATGAGTAGATGTTTCTTAGTTCAATAAGTACTATGTTTACTGGAAAGGAGCCTTTCTCTCTTGCTGTTGTTTATGTCTAGAATGCCATTCCCTTTCTCTGCCTCCTAGAGACTTTCTTTATTCTTTAAAGCCTCACCTAAATGAAAACTCTTTTTGAAACTTTCCTGCATTTTCCCGGACCTAGGTAACCACTCTCTTCAGTGGATTTGTATTCACAGTATAGTAACTCTAGTACTCCAATACAATTGTATGGGTGTTTACCCACCCCTTTGAATGTGAACAATTTAAAAACAATTCTCTCTTATCCAAGCATCTTCATCTCCTCTCAGGATCAGAGTAGAAGCTGACGTGATAAGTTTTGGATTGTATTTATCTGTATGGAAGAAATGTGCTGACCCACCATGCTTATCTGTGTTTATGTAAAAATTCTCTTGGATTTTTCACTATTGGAAACTCTCAAGGAGGAATGAGAGTTTGTACTGTTAGCAGTATGTTCCACTATATGATGTTCAGTTGATAAACTTGACCTCAGGACTATGTTGCATTATTTTTTGGTACATATATGTCACAGCAAATATGGTTCATATAGAGTGTAAATGGCATTGTACTGAATGTTAAGAAAATTTGTCATTAAAAAAAATGTTCCAAGACAGTACCTGAACCATACAGCACAGGTACTGTCAAGTGACATTTGTCCCAGTAAACCTCAAAGATAGTTTTATGGAATCTTGCTTTTTCAGGCAGTCCTTAGTCTGAGAGCTCTAGCAAATTTGTGAGCAAAGTATCAGATACCCCTTCAGCCCCACCTGTGATTCTCTCGGTCTCACATGTCTTCCAGGTCCTTGTCCACTTCTTCTGTCCCAGTTGATGCTATGATAGTGGTCCAATCAACTTCGTGTCTACCTGTTGCTGCAGGTTAACCGAACCCCTGTTTCGGGTAGAAGGGCTGCAGGCATACTCAGGGCTTGGGCATACGCAACTTGAAAGTGCAGGGGAGCTATGTATGTGGCAAATCTTTGCCAAATGAGAGACAGGAGATATTTAAAAAATTCATCTTCTTTCTTTTCCCTGGAAGGGCTGTCCTGAGATGTTTTATCCACATGTTCGCTCTAAAGACAATTCCATAAGATCAATTAGTGATGCTTGATTTCAAGCAGTGGCCAGCTAGGTCATGCACCCTTTGTATTTATTCTCTCCCCTTCCCTGCCTCTCTCCCCTTTATCTGTATTCCTTCTTCCCTGAGAATGCACTCCCCAATGGAGTACTAACACATAATATTATGCCCCAGGCTCTTTTTTTTCTCTAGAGCATTTGGGCAAAGATTATGTATATTCATTAAACACTTACTGGAAACTACTGCTAAGTGCTTTAAAGGGCATATAATGAATAAGGCACAATCTCTGCTCTTAAGGAAAAGATGATCAGATGATGGAGGGGCATAACCTGAAACGGATACATACAAAACCATAATATAACAGTTGTAATGGCCAAAAAGGTTCCAATGAGGAAGAATATTATTAAGAGAAATCCTTCTGTCTCTAAAATCTCTAAATCTTCATTTCTTTTCCTCCTCTTCTCAGAGCTGAGCATTTTGAGCCAACTGCCTAAAGGTAGAATGGCATTTTTCTTTTCCAAATCAAAAACTAAATAATAATAATAATTAAAAGATTATTTGTGAAAAGTGTGCAAGAAACCTGGCTCCTAGCTTTAGAATTTTGGTGTTTTTATAGAAAATTTGTTAAGAATTCCTCAAAATCAGAAGTCTTACTATAGACTCTACATGTCAAATATAAACGGGTCCAGTTAGACATGTGAGTCTCCCTGTTTCTTCCTAGTTCTTAATAGTGTCCTCATTTCATTGTCTTGGTTAATAGTATTGGTTGAACCCTCAGCTTCTTTCAGAAATGCCAGAGGTCTCACCTATAGAGAAATTCAAGATGTTTATCTCAAGATTTTTTCTGGTTTTCTAGGAATCCCTCTCCTAGCCTGCCTCTTACTTTTACATTTCCCAAAGCAGTCTTGTCATTATTTGGCCAGCCGAGGATTGGATTCGCTCTAATAAACCGAAAATTTCTCTCACTGTCCACGCCTAGCAAAGACACCCAGTAAGAATGACAACCTGCACATGCTTGGAATTGATTCTAATGCATGTGTGGAACTGAAGATTACATTAGCATCCTACTTTTTTCCCTTGGGAAACACTGATTGACTACCAAAGCATCACCACCAAACTAGGGCAGTGTTGGGGTTACTCCCAGAGCAACAGAGTCCACTTGCTATTTTAGCCCCAGATTAGTGGTTACTTTAATATTTCACTTGCACTGGCATTGGTGAGGAAAGCCAGATTATCATCAGCTGGAGAGAAAAAAATGAATAGAGAAGCAAATACAAATATTATTGACTATTTTTCACAGCTATGAAGCTGTGTAAGAACAGAGGGAGATGAAAACACAAGTGTAAGACTTGACTTTCAAATGGCATTTAGTTTACTTTCCAGATACCACACTCTTTGAAATTCATTCTTGTTTTTTTACTGTTGTTGTTTGCTGCAGACTGCTTTCCTATCATGAGCCTAAACTGTCCTTTCTGAGTGGTGTGTTTCACGATGGTTTCTCCCTGTTCTTGTTATTGAAAAGGGCACGGGGTTTCTAACTCAGAGTAAAGTAGTGATAATGCAGGCAGGTGTTCCTCAGATGCTATCAGGTTAATACCATCTTCCCTAAACAGTTACGTCAGACAGATTCCGAGAACTGGGAAAGTGGGAAAGGTGCGGGGCAGGGTAGGCACCGGAATAGGGAGGGAAATAAACTATGATTTCATTCAGTCTATCCAAAATGTCATGAGGTAAAACTTAAAGGAAGCAGTAAAATCAGAAAGAATTTCAGTCTAAGGCTTTTATTTATCAAATGTGAAAGAGAAAAAAGGTTCTGTTTAAAAACAAAGGTCTTTGGTTGATAGTTAACCCAAACAGGCAGCCTAAATATGGGAAAATTGCCCTTTTGGTTCATGGTGGTATCTTGATGGAGTAGTCCTGCCTTTCTCCCCCCTGCCTTGCTGCCAGCACACTCCATTGGCTGCTGTGCCCTGGCATGTTGGAGGGTCAGGGATGCAAGTGGCAGTGACAGCTTATTTCTCTCGGCCACAACATGGTGAAGGAGATGAAATGTTATCATGACAGCCCATAACCCACTTTTTATGAGGCTGGACCTGTTCTGAAATATTTAAACACTGCTATTTTGAACACAGAACCGTTTACGAATGATTAATAACAACATCTAGGCCCCTGCATCTGCCTCTAGAAAGAGGCAGAACCAGCTTTTTTGACTGTCACTGATAAATCGCCCTCTCTGCATCTCTCCAGTGGGAGCTGAAAACACTGCATCACAGGTCCCCATGTTCGATGCGGAGCTCAGAAAGAGTGCCCACACCTGGTTCTGCCTGGAGGAGGAACTGGCATGACTCACAATCAGCTTCGTGAAGGAGTGGGATTGCTAATGTCCTTGTAGCACTGGGCCAGAAGGAATTGGTCCTTAACTAGAAGTAGAACTGGTCAATTAAGGCTTGGCCAGGAAAAGAACAAGGAGGAAGATGAAGTGTTGGGGGAAGATTCTGAAAATCAGTGCTACACAACAGGACCGCCTCCGTGCTTCTGACTTTCCCTCCTCTCCATCCTGTGACTGAAGAGCTAAACATCTAAGATCTGTGCTCTGCCAGAAGCCAAGTGACATAGAATAGCACAAAGGCTCAACCTTGGACCCTGGAGCCTCTCCAAATCTCCCCGCCATCACATCCTGACCAATTAATTGAAGCAAGTCCCTTCATGTTCCTGAACCTTAGTTCTTTGACCCACAAAATGGGATAACTTGATAGAATTTTTGAGACAATCAAATGACATATTACTTACAAAAATGATTCATATTCCAAAAAAAATTGACAACATATAACTATACTATTAATAATAACATTTTAGGATTCACATTGATTAGAATAATGTATTTGACAAAAGTACTTTGAGGATATATCTGATGAGTCCCCAGAAGAATGCTACCACATTGCCTTTCTGTGACTTGGGACCTGGGAGATTTGGGGACATTAGACAAGATAAAGAATAATTCTCTTTCTACCTGATTGGGCCCATAGGATATAAATATAAAGGCACTTCCCCTAAATTGCAGCTGATAGGTACTGGGCAGAGAAGCTGGTTTTATTTTAGATTTATGTAGTACAATAACAATATTACAACTGAAGTACCAAAAGTTTTGAACATGAAATGTTTATGCCTATGAAATACTTAATGATCTTTCCTGCACAAGATGGAAAGGCTATCGGCTTAGAGGAAAATAACAAAATGTCCAAAAAGGAATGTGTGAAATATCTTTTGCAGGTGCACAGTTCAGGATGCTTTCTGTCATTCATCCAAATACTTTCTTCACTGAGAGATACTGAAGAAAAATAAACGACAGTGAGATTCACAGTCACAGTTTCCTCACATCACCCCGACTCGGGATGAAGAACTTGAACTTTTGTCTGTTAAAGTTACAAACTAAGAAAATAGTACAGGAGCTTTTCTAAAGGTAAAACTGGCTCTCCTTTCTTGCAGGACTTCTTGAACAGGCCCCAGACTCAGAGACATAGTCCTGCAGCCCCAAAGTCTTATCATTGTTTTTTACTCAAATGGTTTTAGTATTATTTAGGGTCTAATATTATCAATACTCTCATTTCCTATAGATTATACTTTTCTCAAGGTGCCCTGGAAACATTAGCTAAGCTCTTTTTTTCAGTGTTTTCCTTTGCCCTGAAAAAAATTAATCTGACCTACTCAAGATTGACCCATCAACCGGTTCACCTCTAGGGCTGGGAGGGTAGGGTGGCACTGTGAACACAGAAGCCTGTCAGGGTAAACTCAGCTGTTGGAGCAAGCAAGCCACCTTTGTCTTTGTGCCTCCCCTCTGTCTTTCCAGAATGTTTCTCCCACATCTTCCAAACACCGTAGCCCTATTACTCTGGCTATCCACTCCCTCCTGCCCCGCAGCCCCACCTCTGGACTTGCATTTCTCCTCCCCTCAAATGCTACCCAGACTGTCTTCAACCGCCCCAGACTCTCCCACTCTTTAGCTTGAAAAGCCAATCATTCCCTGAGCTTTTTGCTCTTGGGCAAGGGAAATGTGAGGTGAAAAATCCCTAATGTGTAGGAATAAGTGTTACTTAGAAGAATTCCAGGCAACCTTATTGAAGGGCGAGGAAGGTGGTCATTTGAGTCCTTGGAATGCCAGTGCTCGGGTCACTGTGGAAGTCAGGATGGTCCTGTAGAGCAGGGAATTGGAGGTGGGTGGCGCAAGTTGTTGTTGAATTGTGTATGTTCTGACCTCTGCCACCCAGGCCAATTTTAAAAGGAACTCTTCCTGGTGTAAAGTCTAAAAATGAGGGAGAAAAAAATCAGATTTTATTCTAAATTTAAGCTCCTATTTCTAGTCTTAGCTCACGTATGATGCGAGCAGTAGTGGCTCACATCGCATCCCAGTGGCTCACCCCTACACAGAGGCCAAAGCTCCAGAAGGTTGGCAAAATTGGCAGTTTCCAAAGACGGTCTCCTGACTAGCAGCATCAGTCTCACCCGAGGACTTGAGAGAGGTGTAAGTTCTTGGGCCTTACTCTGGGGCTCCTGAGTCAGAGCCTCTGGGGATGGGGCTTAGCAATCTGTGTTTTAACAAGGCCTCCAGGTTAGTCTGAGGCACCCTCAAGTTGAGAACCACTGTGCAAAAGGTACAGCTCTGCCCTTGCTTAAGAAGATTTGATTAAAATCACAGCTGCACTACCATTTATAGGCCAAATTGTTTCAGAAAGATTTTAAGGGAGCTGTCTTTCAACTCCCTGTGTGACCTTAAGCTGTTCACATAAACAATCTGCAGCTCTTCAGTTAGCTATAAAATGGAAATTGTGACATCACACTCGAAGCTGTTAGGAAATATGAAGTAGTATACCTGAAAAGTAGAGGAAATATGAAGTAATAAGTATGAAAGTATATTTAAAATCATAAAGCAGTATGAAAATAACAGAGACATAATTATCTTCCATCTCTCTTTTTATTTCTTTTCTTCCTTTTATCCTTTCCCCGTCCCTTTTCCTTCCTCTCTCTATCCTTTCACTCCAGCTTTTCTTCCTGCCCTTCTTCCTTACTTCTGTGTGACATATGTTATCTATAGTTCCTGGGTTTTAAATTAACCCTAAGTTCTTTAATATTGAATAAATTTACACCCCACTCTATTAAACATTGTATTTGTTTAAAAAGTCCAAATGCTTTATTTAGTGCTTGAGATACTTTTGTATCTATGAGCCTGACCATAAATGAATCAGAAATATTTGAATTTTATTTCTCTATTATCTTTTACACAAAACATGGTTTTAAAATTAAGGGAAAAATTCCTTGGCAAAATGAATTTCAGATTTGGGAAAAAAATGTTGGATGTTCCAAACCCAAACACTGCTGAGCTTTTATCCCTGTTGATGTGAAATATTTAGTGCCTTACCAATTTCAGGATACATATGATCTGAGTGAATATCTGTTAACTGCTTTCTTTTGTTTATGAAATAGGCAATGCCTGTTTAAGACCTTAAAATTTCACTATGTCCAACCTAAAAGGATAAACAAACACCAGTGATAAATGAATCCCAGAAATAATTTTGTTTGTCTATATGTAAACGAAACACTGCAATTTTGCATGTGAGTTCTTACTTATAGTTTTTCTTTCAGAAAGACATTGTAATATAGTGGAAATAATATGTAGCTTGGAATTTAATAGGCCTATATCTGAATAATGGCCATGCCATTTACTAGCTTGAGGGCAAAATATTTTACCTGGATGATCACTGTTTTCTGATAAATAATAAGAATGGTGATATGATGCTATAAATCTGTAGAAAACATCAAATCAAAAGATATGATAAAATTCACTCCTTCTCTTGAGTAAACAAAATAGACATAGGTTCAGACATAATCTCAATACATTTCAGACCAGAGGAATCACACACATGAAATACTATTCCTATGAAGCATTATTATTTATGGATTAGTTTTGATTCCTAATAACACAAAAAATGCTAATAGAAAAATGAAAATGATGAGAAATTGGGATTGGAGTCTATAAAGTTTCCAGAAATGTATTACTCTGAATAAACAAATTATTTGGTAGAGTACAGACACCACTCATGTTCATTTCATGAATAAACCAAAATGGCCAATTGGAATATTGCTTCCCCAATTAGTTTACACGCTAAATTATTGCATATATAGAAAGAAAATGTTCAGTTTTAAAATATATAAAGCAATAAAAACCAGTCCTAAGTAATATCATCAAATTATATTGACATTGAATGCTCCATTAAACTGAGTTAAAGAGCTGTATCCAGTCATATGAAAGAGATTTTCATTTTTAATTGTTAACAAGTGCGTCTTACCATGGCAAAGCCGTCTTGCTCATGGTTAATTGGCTCAAGTCTTGCTTGAGAAATGAAGGTAGAACACATTGCTAATCCTATTGCTTATCCCTAGCCTACCATTAAAGTCTTCCTCCCTACCTCTTTTTCCTGGGTTTTCTGGCGTTTCAACTTCTCCACTATCTTCACCATTTGGAATCCTCCGTTATTATTGAAAAGAGTCCTCCAAGAAATTCTTATTACCCCTTTGCCCCCTTAAATTGGTGCAGAATCTCTGTGGTCTTTGAATCCCCATAAACTTTATAAATTATGCTTTCCTCTATTTTATTTTGTAACTACTTGTGCCTGCTGCCCTGTGAGCCCTCTGGGTATGTCCTTGGTACCTGCAGTGTCTAGAACACAGTGTAGCACAGTATCTGCCACAGTGAAGTGTGCAGAGTGAAGTTGTTCTAGCAGAGTTGAGAGGTATAGTGGGCAGTATGGCAGAGGTTGGGATAATTTCTAGAGCAGAAGTCAAGTTCAGCTTACATGCTTGACTGAGTAAGCCACTTGTCTATAAAGATAAAGCCACACATGCAAGCAATTTGCTTCATCACAGATCTGTTTCATTTGTCCCATGTATATTCATGCAAAACCTATGCACTTCCTCTCATTGTAAAAAAATTAGGGCCAAATATACACTGGCCCAAGAAATATATCTTTCATGTGATTCTTTTGTGGAATGGACATATTGACACTGATAAATTATAAAAATGGCGACTGGTAAGATATAAACCATGACACACAGCATATTTTAAATGGTGAGCTAGAACAATACCATTTTTAAAATGTGTAAATTGATTTTTATTTTAGGGATGTTTTGGACTCTTACACTTGTGAGACAACCTGAGAATGCAATGTTTAATTAATTTATTAGTCTACTTTTTAAAATAATATACCTGAAAAAATCACAAAGAAGATGAATAGTAAATTATTTTCAAGTATGAACTGAATAACACCTCGCTGTTATTTCAATATAACAGATACATAAAATGTCTTTTGAAGAATAATGGTCTTCACAGAACACGTAGTTGATTCCAAGTGATTTCAATTTATTATCTGAATACCTAACTTTTAGTTGTTTTTAACCATGAAAGTATAAATGAAATTCTTAACTAATGGCTGCAAATTCCTCAAAAACATCATAAGTGGAATTCCCCAAAATGATGCAAGTGTGTAATTCAGTATTATTTCTTAACCACTTATGAAGGCAACCAAATAAAAAAAGAAAGAAAAACTTTTAAAAAGTTCCTGTTTCTTATGTAAGTCATAATTTAATTTCCTATATTTATTTGACTCAAAAGTAACGAGACTAATGTACACCCACATTAAAAACAATTCTTGCCCTGTGGTCCTCGCTCAGGAGTGCTGCATTTGCTCTGCGGGTGCCGCTGGCAGTGTTTCCAGAGGCTGCTGTAGTCAGCGTGAGGGGGCTATGTCATGACTTGCTCCGTTTGAGAGGAAAGAAAGGAGCAGAGTTGCTCAAACAGCAATGGGGCAAGGAACAAAAGTAATAGAAATCATTTTTCAGTATAACACATACACTGAATTGCTTCTTTTTATTATTTGTATAATATAGTTTACATGATTTTTTGGTTTTATTTTGCTTTTCCCCAAGATTATCAGAAAAATATCGCAGTAGCCTTCAAGTGTATTTAATCAGCTCTGCAAAGGAAAACTCAGATTCATGGGAGGAAAAGAAGTGAAAAAAATTAGTTAACCTTTCATACAGTCTCAAAACAAATCACAACGAAGATGAATAGGAAATTATTTTCAAGTATCAATAAAGTTTAGAAAATGAAACTCCCAGGAAATCATCTTAAAATTTTTTCCTTTTCCTTTTTAAATTTTTTGTCTTATTTCCTACATTCGCTTGTCCTAAAGATGAAAGCATTATGATAATTAACTCCAGGAAGATACTTATATTATGGAGTTTTAGATGAGATACCCTTTTAAAAAGGTCTAGAAGAGAGAAAATTCTTTGTACAGTAAAAGGGAGAGTTGCGATCTTTTTTTTTTAATGTTACTGAAATATGGTTTGTTGCTGAGAGATTTATGAGAGGGAATAAGAGATCAAAAATTCCTTCTGAAAGTTTGAGGTTCAGTAAACACCAAACCACTACTTTCCAAACAAGTTTCTATTTTTAAAATGTCCTGAAGATTATAGAGTGAAATTTAATCTATGTTTGAATCATTGTCTTCTGTATCAGCAAAACATTACTTTACAAAGCTACAGCATGTCCTTGAGGCAATCTGAGTTGCATTATGGGGGAAGGAGAATGGATGGAAGGGAAGGCTTAACACTTACATTTTTAAAATAACATGTAATTTCGCTTTAATGAATGAAAGCAAAAAAATAATTGTTTGGTACGTTTATTAATGTAATGCCTTTAGTAAAGAAATACAAATAATATTAAAGTTATTTCACACTACTTTGTTTTATAAAGCATAAATGTATTAGGTGAAAACATTTAAAATTATTCTCTTGCTCTACTGAAAACTGAAGATAATGTGCTAAATATTAAGAATGATGTAAAGGAATTAATTTTAATGGGTTCCTCAAATACTGTTTTGAACCATTGACAGTGGCATCTTGAATTGAGATAATAAACTTTAATTGTTGACATATTTGAAATACATTGATGGCTACTTTTTTCACTTTTCGTCCTTATCTGCCATGTGAACAGTAATGTCTATGCATGTAACAACTGCAGAAATGTGATATTGGAATAGCAACATGTATGGTTATATTTTTATATTGCCCCCAAAGTCAATAATTCACTATTCGATTTTTCAAAGTCATCATTTTCACTATTCAATTTTTCCTAAACTTTACTGAAACTATACAAGACACCGTAATTAAAAATACTCCCACTACTCAATGAATCAGTACTTTAGTTAAATTGAGACTAGTGTTGGATATCTTCATATACCCTGCTCTACCTTACAACTGCTCTCATTGTATATGGTAAGCCATGCATATTGCACATCTCTATTCCCATATACACCTTGAGCAGAATTTTTTCGTACTGAGCAAAGACTTTTCTTCTCTTGAGCTTCCTTTATTGACAGGAAGACTAGACAGTCCTTTCAGAATAGCTGCTGTTTAAAGATATTGCTGTCATTTCGGAAATATGGTGCTCAAAGCAAATATAAACATTTTATTCATTTGTAATCTTCATATGTTAATGCTTTATTTCTCAAAATGTTACCAGGTTTACTATATAATTTGATTTACTCTGTAGGTACAAATCTTAGAATTATTAATTGTTAATTTTCAAGGACCCCAGTGAGAGTCAATTGGGATTAGACTATGGAATTAGAATTATGGCATTTCTTGCCTCCAGGTGTAACCTTCAGACCACATTTTCTCACAAATAAAGTAATGGAAATGAAAGAGAGAAGTTTTAGGAAAGGTCAGACTGAAACCAACAAAAACAAGTGAATGCCAATTACATCAGTGGATAATGTAACACATGTGTCGTATAACACG
This sequence comes from Homo sapiens, assembly GCF_000001405.40. NCBI lineage: Eukaryota > Metazoa > Chordata > Mammalia > Primates > Hominidae > Homo > Homo sapiens. The sequence continues at coordinate 122,047,455 of NC_000006.12, read as the reverse complement.
TCTTTTTTCAGAAGACACTTTCCATAGGATGAGTTGCAGATTTCATTTAAAGTTCCAGACTTTGCCTAAAATCCTGTTCTGAATATAATGATTTCAACTTAATACATATATATTAGAAATGAAAACAGCTCAAGGTCTTAGGTTAGAGTAAGTAGACCTGAATTATATATAATATTATATTCTGCTAATTCAATGTTTATGTGCAATGAAAAAGGCAGCAGCTCACAGCAGGGAGGAAATAAGCAAATCCTGGCAAGAGGGAGGCTTTCTGTATCCACCTGAGAGCTTGTTAATAATACTGATATCTCAGTATAAGGAATAGTAACTGCCATTTACTGAGCACCTTATATGTTACATGCATCTGATTTTCTGGAATCCTCACACAAGCACAGTGAGGTAGTTACTATTATGCCCACTTTATAACTGAGTAATTAGGGGTTAAATTATTTGCTCAAGACCAAATACTTACTAAGTGGAGCATAAGGCTTTGAATCCATTTATGTTTAAGCCAGAGGATGCTTTTGCCACCACATAGTGTATGAACTCAAATTTTAGAGCCAGACTGGCTTTATCATGTAATTATTGAGCTAGTTAACCTCTCTGAGCTGAGTTTTTCTCTTGAAAAATGGAGGTGTTGATCATGCCTACTTCACTGATTCTTTTCTTTCTTTCTTTCTTTCTTCCTTCCTTCCTTCCTTCCTTCCTTCCTTTCTTTCTTTCTTTTTTTTTTTTTTTTTGACGGAGTTTCGCTCTGTCGCCAGGCTGGAGTGCAGTGGCACAATCTCGGCTCACTGCAACCTCCACCTCCGGGTTCAAGCGATTCTCCTACCTCAGCCTCCGAGTGGCTGGGACCACAGCACGTGCCATCATGCCCAGCTAATTTTTTGTATTTTTATTAGAGACGGGGTTTCACCATATTGGCCAGGATAGTCTCAATCTCTTGAACTCGTGATCTGCCCACTTTGGCCTCCCAAAGTGCTGGGATTACAGACGTGAGCCATCGTGCCTGGCCCTTCACTGATTATTAACCCATTTCGCATTTGGAATCAAATGAAGAGCTTTTAAACAACAGTGAGGCTTGGAGCTTACCCCCTTATTTGCTATTATTAAAAATCTCCTCATATAATTCTAAGGCTTAAAAAGGGTTGGGAACACCTGACATGCCTCACTGGATTGTTGAGACTATTAAATAAGATTTATATCTGCAACACTTATAATGGTGTCTAGCACATAGTAGTTACTCATAGGAGCGTGCTATTGATTTTTACGGTGTATTTGTTGAGTTCCTTGGGTTGCAAACCTGACATCTGAGATTGCTGACATTTCTAATTACTTATTTTCTCTCTCTTCCTTACTCCCCACTCCCTCCCAGCTTCCTTTTTCTTCTGCAATTTTTTTTTTTAAGCAGAGTCTCACTCTGTCACCCAGGCTGGAGTACAGTAGTGCTATCTCAGCTCACTGCAACCTCCACCTCCTGGGTTCAAGTGATCCTCCTGCCTCAGCCTTCTGAGTAGCCAAGACTACAGGCACAACCCACCACACCTGGCTAATTTTTGTACTTTTTGTAGAGATAGGGTTTCACCAAGTTGTCCAGGCTGGTCTCGAACTCCTGGACTCAAGCAATCCCGCCCACCCTGCCTCAGCCTCTCAAAGTGCTGGGATTACAGGCCTGAGCCATTGTACCTCATCATATTTTTTGTTGTCATGATAGAAAACATGAACGTCCTGTCCCAAATTATAATGGACCCATCTGGTTTTGGTCTTCTGGGTATCCCTTCTTTTGGGTGCATGTCTGACCTTCTCCCATTAGCACTGGTTTTGCTGGGATGGCAGTTACAGGATTATCTCTCCCTCCTCAACCCTAATCCCATCCCAAAGAAGTTGATATGTGATTTACACTAGGTCAATCACAATTTCCATGTGGAAATTTGTATCTCAAGGGAAGGCAAATGAAAAAGGAAAGTGATTGGATCTGAGCATTTCAACTGCAGCACTCTAAGGAGATGGTCCCTGAGATCTTGATACTAGATCCAAAGAGTCAGATTCTTCTGTTTCCCTAAGTTTGTTCATATATTCTTATGATTCTGTTATGTTCTTAGTATCCTAATAATATATATATATATATATATATATATATATATATATATATATATAGTTGCTATATATATATATATATATGTATAGTTGCTTAATGGAACCATTCTGTTGTTTGCAAAGAACTCTTGATGATATATGAATTTTATATTTTATGGTCCAGGAACCAAAAGAAGATTCTTTATTTCTTCTTCATCCTCATCCAAAACTTCATCCCCATCAGCATAAGAACTCAGTCTATCTCAGAACAGGAGAAAATGACTGGACCTTTCAACTGGGACTAAGGAATGGAGTTACATTGTAGTCATGGGGAGGAGGCAGGAATTTACAGAGCAGGAGTGCATGACATGTAAAGAAAGTTATTATCTCTACTAAGGCTCCTAGCAGCTGCCGTAGCCCACCCACAACCCCTCCTTTTTCACCATCTCCCAACCTCTGCCACAGGCACAGTTTCCCACTGTTCCCAGCAAAAACTATTTGGTGTGTACTGCATGCTCTTGTTTTTTACTTCTGATTGGGATATCCATTTGCTTTCCATCTATCAAGTTCACTTCAACTTTGTGCCCTACATTCCTATAAAGTTCATCTTAACTCTCCAGGCAATATCAGTGTCTCATTTCTTTGTACCATCCTGTTAGCATCCTATCTAACATAGAAGACCAGAGGAAAAAAAAGGGGGAGGGCTGTGATTTAAGAGTCAGAGGTAGACGCAAAGTTAAAAAAGGAAGGCACACATGAAAAACAAGAGAAATAAAAATCTGGGACTTCTGAAACCCCATTTTACTGTTGTCTTTGCTAAAGGCTCCAAGCTTTTAATTTAATTTGTGTGCCTTGTAAGGCTCTTTGGTCCCTGTCATTCATTTCTTGGCTGTGGATGAATAAGGAATGTTATTTCAATTCTATATTCTTCTTTCTGGTAGAAAAGCAAAGATAGTATGTCAAATGTCAGCTGCTGGCAGGCTATTCGCAAGGCACCTGCTGAAGAATTTGCTGCCTTTATGTAGACCCTGACTATTCTCCAACTCATATCAGGGCCATTGAGGGTGTATCAGACAGAGTTTGTTCATCTCTCAAAGGAAGATCAGTTTTCTGTCTTTCCCGTTATGAAAGAGAGATGAGAGGGCATAGTATTACAGTGCACTCTTCACCTACTTTCAGGGAGGAAAAGAATATATGTGGTTGGTAAGAAATCATTCTCTAGTTTTTAATTTCTGTTCAACCCTGTGCAACATTTCCCCTCATTTTCTATTATTTCCCTTATCTCTGGCTGAATGAGAGTAATTCTAAACTTCTTTTGGCATAGGTGTACATTCTGAGGCCTCAAGCAAAGCATGAGAAGGAGTCACCATTTCTCCTAGAACCATCCTTCTGAGGACTCTCAGGACAAATTGAGCATGCAGTTGTGAACTCAGATGCTGGAGAAGTTTCTCCAACTGAAGTTGGCTTAAGTTTGCTCTGGGTTGTGCTGCAGTGAGCTTTGGAGACAAGGTGTTTGATGCTGCAATTCAGTGAATTAGCTTCCTCTGGGCCTTGAGAATACCTGATCCCACCCCCATCTTCTGTCCTTGCTTCTCTTGATTGATACCAGTTGAAGATTTGAACTTTGATCTTGTTTGCCTGTCTCCTTTGTGATGCATAATGACTTACATATGTTTAAGTAGAATATTTATGATAAAACCACCTGGTTTCTCTAAAGAATACTAGGAGGAATGACTCATTTTTCCCCCTGATTAGAGTGCAGAACATTGCCTTTTTGGTTTTAGTTTTGTCTAGCAGTACTTCTGCTATTGTGACAAATGTTATGGAGCACTGTGTACCAAAATAGATGTCGTATCCATCTCAAATCACCGACACTAACAATAGAAAGGAAAAGTAATTAAAAATAAAACCTCTCAAAAGAACACATCCTCCAAGGAAAGGAAAATGAGACGTAGCATGTTAATTCCACAAGCAGACGCATCTAAAGCCTCTCTCGGGATAGTGGAAAACACAGCAAACATCTGGGAGATTTCAACTGTGAAAGAAAATTATAATCATTGGTTACAAAGACTTTTCGTGCCCCTTGCTTGTAAACAGTCGAATAAGTCCATGGAAAAGTATATACATAGGAGGAATCATGAAATCTCAAACTAAATATCCCTAGTCAGGATAAAAGAGTAAATTTCGGGCAGAAATTCAGGAAACTACTGGAAAAAAAATCTGTTTCCAAATCTGAACTTTAGAATACAACTCATAAATCAGCCCCCAATTACCTCACTGGCCTTGTGGCCTGCAATCCTCCCACACTGGCCCCTCCTGGCTGCTTGAATATATTAGGGCTTCTCACTCGCTGGTGCTACTGCCTAGTATGCTCTGTGTAAGTGTGGCTTTCTCCCTCACTTCCTTCAGATGTCAGCTAACATATCACTTCCTAGCTTTAGTCCTGAAGGGGTTTTCCTCATTACACTTATTATTTCCTGACTAATTACACATGCGTGTATGCTTGGTTGTTGCTTATCTTCCCTTTCTAGAATGTTAGCTCCTTGAGGGAAAGGACTTTGTTTTGTTCAGTGTTAACATTCTGGAACTTGAGATGGTGCTTGGCTCATGGAAAATACACACTGGTATTTGTTGAATGAATAAATGAAAAGTATAAAAGAATGGGAAAAACAGAATGTGTGGTGATGTGACGTCCCACCCAGATCCCTCTGTAAGGAAGGAGGACTTGTTGCCCCACAGCCTTCAGCTGTCAGCCCTTTCAGATCACCTCAGCTGCAGAGGTGAGCTGCCAAGGTTACATCATTTTGTGGGTGGGCCACACACAATGACTGATTGAGGCAAAGGTGTGAAGAAAAGGCCATGTGGTTTTAACACAGGAAAAATATGAAGTTGAGCCACATTAACTCCGAGATGGCCAAGGCTGCTGGTCTGAATCATAGGTGGGTTCCTCCCTTGATCGACCCCACATTTCACCTCTCCTTCCACAGGTATTGATCCAAGTGACACTCCCTAGTAAACATCTCAAAACCGAAGTTCGCTTTCTAGAAAACCCAAAATGCAACAAGATGAAAAAACAAGAAGTATCTCTTCTTTACAATTTACTGTCCTATTTCATAACACTATGTCTTCATCCAAAAATAAATTCCTTCATTTGGCAGATATCTGTGGAGAAACTATTATGTTTCCGGCACTGTTCTGGGCACTGATGTGATGGAAATTAAAACACCAACAAGTCTCATGAGCTCTGTGAACTTTATATCCTAGTAGGGTAAAAATAATAAGGAAGCAAATAAAAGAAAATTTGTGAAAGTGTTAAGAGATGTGAGGAAAATAGGTAGTGAGCTGAGAAGGGTGGGAGTGATCAACTGTTTTTAACTAGGTGTCACGAGAAGGGGCTTCTGAGGCAAAGACTTCAAAGTTGAGGTTAAACTCAGGGATCCAGGCATGCCTGTCTTGGGGAGGTGTGGTCCACATTGGTTTATCACCTGCCAACTACACGCAGGCACTGGAGGGGATACTAGGGTTGCAAAAATCAGCACAAAATAGTCTGTTGCTCTAAGAAGGCTATTTTCTAATTCATACTCATAAATAATTGGAACATCTTAACGTAAGGGAATCTGGGTATTTTATTGCCCTCTTGGTTTGAGTAGTTAAAAAATATTAACTGACAACACCTTTATTGAACAGTTAATACCTGTCAAGCCTTCTTCTAAATAATTTTCACATTCTAACAGAAACAGAAAATAAGACAGGTATTATTATTACTATATTAATATTTAACAGTTAATAAAATCAATGCAGAGTAGGTAATTTCCCAGAAACATAGTTAGCAATCAGGAGAAGCAGAAACTAAAACCCAATAGTCTGATGTCAGATCTAGCAGTCTTAATCCTTTGTATTATGTTGAAATGTCTCCTTGCCATGCTATTAGATGTTATTTCTCCTATTGAGTTTAGAAGGGTTATATGTTTTTTAAAAATAGGTGATCTCTTCATTTTGCAACAATAATTATTTCTATATTCCAATATTCAACTATTTTGCAATATGGAAAGTAATATATTTTTCATTAAAATGACTTATAATATGATGGTGTCATTGTTTCTATTAGTAATCTCAGAAAACTTGAAAGCACCATTATCAGTTATTTCTGAGGATACTTTGGAGATTTTCCTAGATTTTCTTCCAACACAAAAGCTTGGGAAAGAAGCAAAAAGTTAGCCAATACTTTCTAAGGTAAAACCAAAGCATAAAAAAGGTAAAATAAAATATTTTAAAATTTAAAGTAGATCAGGAGACACAGCAAATTGTGAATAAATGTGTATAAATGTTCACTTACTCCACAGAGCATTGAAATGTTTTCATGGCCCCGGTTCATGATTCTCCAATGTCAGAATAACTGGGATAATTTTCCATTGGATAAGATACTGTATCATTTTCAACTTAACGAGTGCTTTTTAGATTTTTATCCTCACTCATCACTGATGGAGTCACATGGCAATTCGATACTAAAGTTTCAGTCTCATTAGGAGACATTTGTGCTTACTTCAGTATGTTTCCCTGAAGTCTATTGCCAAAGGAAAGATGCTTCAAGCTATGACTGCCTGTATCTGATTTTTTTAAAAGCAGGAATAATAAAAATAGTAAATTGAGTGCTTATTATACACCAAGAGAATTTCTGTTTATTATAGCACTTATAAAGCACATATTATTTTAGAGATGCTGAGACTGAAACCTAGAGAAGTGAAGAACATTAAATTGGGTCATGCAGCTTTTAAATTACAGAGGATTCAAGCCCAAACTGATTTAAATTCCATATCTCACACTCATAACCACTATTCTAAGTTGAGGAAATGCTAAATTCATATGCGAGTACAGGTTAAAAGTGATTATATTGTT